>NC_000014.9:70672319-70823834 GCF_000001405.40 Homo sapiens
ATGAATAAATTATGACTGCAGACTGGCTCTCCTGCCTTAAACTAATTTCATCCCAGCCTAGTCTCCTGATGTCTGTGCTCGTTATGCTATGCCATGTTGCTTCAGTCAAACAAGAAACACTTACTGAGGGCATATTGTTTGCCCATCATTGTGCAATATGCTGTGGGACATGGGATGTCGTCTCAGTCTTCAAGGAAATGGAAGGGTTAAGAAATGCATATGAGATTATTACCAATGACACCGTTAATTTATATGATGCTTTAAAATTATCAGAGCACTTTCATGTATTTTTCGTGTGACTAGTGAAAAAGACAATGTTGTACAAAATTAAAATATATACAGATGCAATAATGTGAATAGTTAGGATTTATTAAATGCATTATCTTCAGATCTTTACATGTATAATCTCATTTCTTTCATGCAGTTACTCTGGGATACTGTTCCCATTTGATGGGTAAGAATATTGAAAACCAGAAAAATTAATTATCCCAAGGTTGCATGGCCTTTAGTGGCATAGCTAGGATTTGAACCAGGCCTGCCTGACTCCAGAGCTCTGGCTAGTATCTATGCTATACTTAGTTGCCTCTCTGTAAGTATAATATTGGGCAATTATAACCATTTGAGAACAGGACAATATGTATTAACCTGAAAAGTGTTCATGATGTCAGTGATAGTACATGGCCTCCTTATGTATTTACTCAAGGGCCCCAAAAGACCAGAGGCCAGAATCCCTAGTAGTCAGAGCAGTGACAGGTCAGAAAAAGGCAGCTGAGGTCCAATAGTTATGTCTGTGTATTGCTCATTCTACTTACTGATGGAGCCAGCATGTATCTCAACAACTCACCTAGCATTCATCACCCATCCCCAGCATTGGGAAAGGGTCACAATTAAGACCGAAAGGAAACACAAAGTTAAATATGGGTTAATTATGTAAGCAGATGCCCCACCACGGCAGGATCCAATCACAGCCGAGGGGCCCAGAAGAGAGCAGCGTAAGTTATATTCACATAGTTCCCCAAAGGCTTTCAACGGGGGCTACAGGAAGGTGCTAGAAATATTGAGGGGCCTGCCATTACTCACCTAGAGCTCACTCTCTGGAGAAGAGGAAAAGGAAGAAGCTATTTCAGCTGCCACATTCTCCCCAATCCCTACTATATTATGCTGTCTTTCCTCTTCCTCCTAGCTGGCTTTACATGACCCTAACCCAAAACTACCCTATGGCCCCACACGGGAATGTGTTCAAACGCCCCGACCCCCACCCCCACCCCCATTCCCAAGCCTCCAACTTAGAACGTTTGTGATTTGGCAGATGGTTTGTTAGGATCTGAAGGATGAAGAGAAGGGTAGAGGTCACCTGGAGAATGAGTTCAAACTGCCAGGGTCTTCCCTTGGTCTTTGTGCGTCAGGAAGGACTCCGAGTAATTATTCCCTATGCAGAGACAGGAGAGAGGTCTTGTTTACATGAGTGTGCTGGGGCAGGGCTGGACAATCCAGGATATGATTGTAGCCATCCCATGTAGAAAGATCAAAAACCAGAACGAAATGAAGACAGCCTCTCAGAACCTCATAGAACAAGCGTCCAGGTCATCTGCTTGTTTGGTGACTTAGATATACAGGCTTACTGGAACTCCATTCACTGTGACCTGAAGTTAAATAATCCCAAAGAGAAAAAGCTACCTGGGGTATTGGTTGATGTTTGGGGTGATAGGGCTGAATTTTCTGTGCATTTGTCCAACAAAGGCTTTAGAGCACAAAACCAGGTTCATTCTCCCTACCAAATCTTCAGCTTCCTTCTCCTCATCCCTCCCCAAAACAAGAACTGTGATTTAATTCCGTACGTTGCGGATGTCACTGCTGACCTATGTAGCTGGAGTACTAATCAGGCATCTGACCTGCACTGTCATCCCCTGCCTGGACTTTTGCGATGGACTCTTTGGGGGAAAAACTAACGCTTTTTAATTATTGTGAAAGCATCATGTGTGTATTGTAGAAGTTTTAGGAAAAAAAGGACAAAATCCAATCCATAAGCTTACCACCCAAGACAAACGTGTATTCTTTTGAATATACCTTTTAGTTCTTTTTGGTGTAAATGTACACACGCACACACAGTTGTGGATTTTTTTAAACAAAAACTGGATACACTGAATATACTCTTTAATAACTTTTCAAGTGTGTATTTATATTTTAGAATATGTAATCCTACACAGATACAAAATTCAAAAAGTACAAACTGCTCTGTAGTCAGAAGTAAATCTTCTCCCTACCCCGTCTGCCAGCATCTAGTTTCCCTCTAATTTATTTTGCATCCTAGTGGAGATGCTTACACATTGTCAAACATATGTATATATTCTTTTATCACACACAAATGGCAGCATATTGGACACTTTTTGTTTTTTGCTCCTTCTGTTCCTTCACTTAATAATATCACGAACATTTTCGGCATATCAAACTTTCTCAACAGCATCTTCATTGTATGGATGGACCCTTTTTTTATCATCAATCCTCAAATAGTGATTATTTCATTTGTTCCCAATCTTCATTGTAAATAGTGTTGCAACTGACATTCTTGTAGCTAAATTTTGCACATGTCTATAACGATTTCCTTAGGATAAACTCCAAGAAGAGACTTGCTTGGCTATTTTTAAGAATTTTGATACATGTTGCCAACCACCCTCCAGAAAGTTTGTACCAAAACGCTCTCCTATTTGGATCCTAGAGAGTACCCTGTTTCCTGCACCCTAACACTAGGTATCATCACTTATCAAATCTTTCCCAATTTGGTAGCTGGGATAATAGTATGTCAATGTTATTTTAACTTTCTTTGATTCTTCGCGAATAACATTTTCATATGCTTATTGACCATTTGTACTTCTTTCTTTGTGAATTTTCTATTTATTTGATATTGGTATGTTTATTATCAATTTGTAATTTTATTAAGAATATTATTTTTGTCAAGAAATGCTGCAAATATGCTTTCCAAGTGCTTTGCTTTCAAATTTTGTTTATGGTGCTTTTTGACATACATAAATTCTTAATTCTGCAATTAATTCGTTCCTCTGTTGCCAGCTTCTCCTGCCTACAGTTCATTCTCTTATTTCTATCAGAGTGACCCTTCCAAAACACAGTTTGACCATGTCACTCCACAACTTCAGCACTTTGGGAGGCCAAGGTGGGTGGATCACAAGGTCAGGAGTTCAAGACCAGCCTGGCCAAGATGGTGAAACCCCATCTCTTCTAAAATACACACCCACAAAAAAATCAGCTGGGTGCGGTGGCAGGCACCTGTAATCCCAGCTACTCAGGAGGCTGAGGCAGGAGAATCACTTGAACCTGGGCATCAGAGGTTGCAGTGAGCCGAGATCACGCCACTCCACTCCAGCCTGGGCAACAGAGTGAGACTCTGTCTCAGGAAAAATAAAATCTTTAGTAGCGCCTCGTCACTTCTAGGATAAAGTCCAAACTCCTTAACAACACACACGGTCTTTCATATTTTGTCTCCACTGATCTTTCCAGCCTCACTTCCTGGTCCTCTTCCCAAAGTATCCTACATTCCACTGCTGTGCAGCTTCTTTTGCCGCCCTGAGCCATTGTGCTGGGTCTCTGGGCCTTTCCACGCTATTCCTTCCCTCTGCCTCATCGGCTATTCCTTAGCCCTTCAGTCCTCTCTACCTTGCTAACTCCTATAGGCCTTCATTCAGGATCACTGCTAGAAAGCCTTCCTTGGTCCTTTAGTCTGAATTCTTAAAGCAACACAAGCCTACCTCAGCCTAGCTTTTGCTACAACAAATTAGAGTTTCTAGTTTACATTCATCTCCCGCACGCCCTGGGTGTCCCTCAAGGCAGGCACTGTGGTATATTCATCTTTGCAGCCAGAATGTTGAGCACCATGCCTGGCACATTGTAGGTACTCAGAAAACGTTGAGCATTCAGCCTGGAATGAAGGAATAATGGGTTCAGTGGCAAATGTTACTGGAGGTAAATGCAGGGCTGAACTAGATCTGTGCTTCTGAGAAATGAAGATCTCCTAAGAGACTTGGGTCAGAAGAGAAGCCACGTGCTGCAGCCCTGTGCTTTCCAAGATATCAGAATCACTAGGAAGAGCTTTTTAAAAATACATAATCTCAGGCTCTACCTTAGACCCATTGAATCAGATTCACAGGAATAGTGTTCAGGATAGTTTTTTGAATGCCATGAGGTAACCAGCCAGGTTAAGGGGCCACTGCTGAGGCCCAGCAAACTTGAGAGCACGCCGCTCCACTATTTCAAACCATGTGACATTTTACAGTGGATAGACGGAGTTTTGTTTGAATACCAGCTTTAACATCTGCTAGCTGTGTGACCCTGGTGCAGTTGTTTAACTTTTCTGACCCTCATTTTCCTCGCCCATACATGGGGAGAATGTTTTGTTTTGTGTTCCAAGATGGAGTCTTGCTCTGTCGCCCAGGGTGGAGTGTGGTGGCACGGTCTCCGTTCACCGCAACCTCCGCCTCCCAGGTTCAAGCAATTCTCCTGCCTCAGCCTCCCGAGTAGCTGGGATTACAGGCACACACTACCATGCCCAGCTAATTTTTGTATTTTTAGTAGAGAGAGGCTTTCACCAATTTGGCCAGGCTGGGGGAAAATGTTTTATCCCTTAAAAGGGTGTGGGGAGGACTAAGAAATAAGTATCTCCCAGCTCAGTGGCTGGCACAGAATAAGCACAGAAAAAACATTTATTTCCTTCCCCCACCCTCCCTGGCCTCAGTTTCCTTGTTTATAGTGTGGCTGCTAATACTTGCACGTTCACCTTCCACATTCCCCCTCTCTGCACTGTAGAAGGAAGGGAACCTTCCAAGAGGCCCTTGGGTTACTCTCTGCTCAAGCAGGACAAGTACTTGGAGGTGGGGAGTAGAAAGACAGAGGAAGCTTCATACTCCAACCCATGCCTCTCCAGGCTTCAAAGAGACTCCACAGCAATCAGTTGGAATAATTCTGATGGTTCTCGGAATCAGCTGTCTTCCAGTCACATCCAACGATAAACGCTGTTTTCTTCCTAACAGTCCACCCAGAGGCCAGCAGCCTCTGAGCTGCAAGGAGACGGCAATTGCCGGGAAATAGAACAGCCATTGCCCACTCCCCTTCCAGTGCCCTTGGTATCCTCATCACATGCCTCAGGGCAGGAAAGACAAGACTGGCTGTGAGGTCAAATAGCTGGTCTGCAGCTGCTTTAAGACGCCCCACTCCCTGGTCTCAATGCCAGCACTCTCTCCACAGCAGCCCAGGGCGGGCAGTGGAGGCAGGGAAAATGCATTCAGTCCATCAGGCGTGGCATAGTTCAAATTACCAAGTCAGCATGAAAAGTCCCACTCTAAATGGACTGAAATTGGATTCTATTAAAAACCACATTCAGCGAGACCCTTGACTATTAATATTTGCTAAGACACGGAGGAGGGGGAGGCGGTGGAAGCCCCTGAGAAAGGCTGAGCATCTCAGCTGCTCCGTTGAGTTGCCTGTCTGAAAGGGAGCCTACGTCTGACCCCTAGACTTGCCTTGTTTTCCAAGTCTCACAGAATATTAGGGCTGGACAGAAGCTTGAAGCTCAGTAGTTCAACCCTCTTTTCTTTCAGATGAGAGATCAAGTCCAGAGATGATTAAGAGATTTATTCAAGGTCACACAGATAGTAAGCAGCAAATCTGAACTGGAACTCAGGTCAGTTTCCTGACAACAAACAATACTCTTTCCACTGAACCAAAGTATACTTCCAAAATATATATACACACATATATGTATATGTGTGTACGTGTGTGTATATATATATATATGTGTGTGTGTGTGTATATATATATATGCTGTAAAATTGTTCTCTTCTAAAGAAAGAAGGAGCATAGTACTCATTTATTTACTCCCGCATTCAGTACTTATTCCAATCACTTCATTAGGTGGTTCATTGGTAACAAGGAGTTGTCTCTGCTTGAGGGGCTTACAGTGTATAGGGAAGAAAAAAAAGTAAATGAGCAGTGTCAGTTCTGTGTAGGAAATGTTCTAGAAAACATCGTGGAGGCTCAGTACAGTGGCTCACGCCTATAATCCCAGCACTTTAGGAGAACGAGGCAGGCGGATCGCTTGGGCCCAGGAGTTCGAGACCAGCCTGGGCAACATGCCAAAACCCTGTCACTATAAAAAATTAGCCAGGCATGATGGTGCATGCCTGTAGTCCCAGCTACCTGGGAGGCTGAGGTAGGAGGATCATGTAAGCCCAGGAGGTAGAGGCTGCAGTGAGCCAAGATCACACCACTGCACTCCAGCCTGAGCAACAGAGCAAGATCCTGTCTCAAAAAAAAAAAAAAAAAGAAAGAAAATCATGGGAACACACAGAAAAGGGAATCTATACCAACTCCAGAGGATCCAGGAAGAATTTCTTGAGGGGAGCCAACTGGGTGGGGCAGGAGCAATGAGATAAGTAAGCTTCAGACTGGTGCCTATGACGATACACTAGAACTCCTTTTCCTGGATATAATGTGAAAAGACTTGAGAGAAACATCACGTGAGCTGTCTTCTTACTTTTTTTCTGTTTTTTCATGCCTGGGCTCAAGCAATGTCACTTTTACTACCTTTGGAAGCCCAAACGGTAGAGAAATCACAGAAGACCCTGCAGGTTACATCTGATTAAAGCCTCTCCACGTAGAATAGGAACAAGCGGCTAGGTGTGTTTTCTCTGAGTGCAGTCAGAACCCTTCAACATTTGTGATTTCTATAATAGGGAAAATTCTAGACCAAGTTTAGCTCACACATGTAGCTCCAGGGGCATAATGTCATGAGTACCTTGAATATATCCCATTATTTTATGTTCCTTTGTTTTCTCTAATCTCAGCCTTTTTATTCTAGTGCAGTGCTGCCCGTTAGAAATGTGGTGTGAACCACTTATATAATTTTAAATTTTCTAATAGTCACATTTTAAAAAGTAAAAAGAAATACAGAAAATTTCTTTCAATAATACATTCTATGTGAAAATAAAACTATGGAAACAAACCAAAAGAATAAAATATTCAAGAATAAGCCAGGCATGGTGGTGCATTCCTGACGCCCTAGCTACTTGGGAAGCTGAGGCAGGAACATCCCTTAAGCCTAGGAGTTCAGGGCTATGGTGAGCTATGATCACATCACTGTACTCTGGCCTGGGTGACAGAGCGAGACCCTGTCTCTTTAACATAAAATTTTAAAAAGAATAAAATACTCAGGAATAGGCCAGGCGCGGTGGCTCATGCCTGTAATACCAGCACTTTGGGAGACTGAGGTGGGTGGATCACCTGAGGTCAGGAGTTTAAGACCATCCTGACCAACATATAATGAAACCCAAACCCTGTCTCTACTAAAAAATACAAAAATTATCTGGGCATGGTGGCACATTCCTGTAGTCCCAGCTACTTGGGAAGCTGAACCCAGGAGGTGGAGGTTGCTGTGAGCCGAGATAGCGCCACTGCACTCCAGCCTGGGCAACAGGGCAAGACTCTGTCTCTCAGAAACCAACCAAACAAAAAAACCTCAGAAATAAATAGCAAAATAAGTGCAAAACTATCACTCTGAAGACTGCAAAAGATTGTTGGATGAAATTAAAGGAACCTAAATTAAATGGAAAGATATCCTATGTTTATGAATTGGAAGATTTAATTGTTAAGATAGCAATACTCCTCAAACTGACCTACAGATTCAACATAGTCTCTATAAAATTCCAACTGATGTAATTGCAGAAAATGATAAACTGATCCTAAACTTCATATGGAAATTCAAGAGACTCAAAATAGCCAAAATAATATGGAAAAAGAACAAAGTAGGAGGACCCACTCTCCCTGATTTCAAAACTTATGACAAAGCTACAGTAATCAAGATAGTGTGGTACTGGCACAAAGACAGACAATAAGTAGATCAATGGACTAGAAATGAGAACCCAGAAATAAACCCTAGTATTTATGGTAAATTGATTTTCTACAGGGGTACCAAGATAGTTCAATGGAGAAAAAGGAGTATTTTCAACAAATGGTGCTGGGACAACTGGATAGCCGCATGCCAAAGAATGAAGTTAGACCCCACCTCTATATATAAAAATTTACTCAAAATGGATCAAAGACCTAAATGTAAGAGCTAAAATTATAGAATTTTTAGATGAAAGCATAGGTATAAATCTTCATGACCTTGGATTAGTTGATGGTTTCTTAGATATGACACTAAAAGCACAAGCTACAAAAGAAAAAGTAGAAAAACTAGACCTTTTATCTATTAAAACTAAAAATATTTGTGCTTCAAAGGACACCATCATGAAATGGCCACCCACAGAATGAGAGAAAATGTGTGTAATCCCACATCTGATAAGGAAGTTGTGTCCAGAATATATAAAGGACTATTACAACTCAATAATAAAAAAGACAATCCAATTTTTAAATGGGAAAAGGATCTGAGGGACATTTCTCCAAAGAAGATATGCAAATGGCCAATAAACCCAATAACAGATCATCCACATCATTAGCCATTAGAGAAATACAAATCAAAACCACAATGCAGGACCACTTCACAACCATTAGGATAGCTGTCATGAATAAGACAGGTAACAAGTACTGGTGAGGATGTAGAGAAACTGAAACTCTCATACACTGCTGGTGGTAACACAACATGATGCAGCTACTGTGGAAGAGTCTGGCAGTTCCTCACATGGTTAATCATAGAGTGACCCTATGACCCAGCAATTCCACTCCTGAGTCTATACCCAAAAGAACTGAATACATGTGCCCGCCCAAAAACCTATATATATATATGTTCACAGCAGCATTATTCATCAAAGTCGAAGAGAAAAAAAACAAAATGCCCATCAACGTTGACAATGAATGAATAAATAAAACTTGGTATATATCCACACAACAGAATATTATACACAATAAAAAGGAATGAAGTACTGATACATGCTACAACATGGATGAACTTTTAAAACATTATTCTAAGTGAAAGAAACCAGGCACAAAGTATCACGTATTTTATGATTCCATTCACATGAAATCTCCAGAGTAGACAAATCCATAGAGACAGAAAGCAGCTTAGTGGTTGCCTAGCAGAAGGGGTCAGGGAGATGAGAGGACTGGGAAGTGGTAGCTAAGGGTGCGAGGTTCCTTCTTGAGGTCATGAAAATGTTCTAAACTTGATTGTGGTGATGGATGCATAACTCTGTAAATATGCTAAAAGCATAAGGGAGTGTACATCTTAAATGGTGCATTATGTCTTAATAAAACTATTTAAATAATATATTTTATTCAACCCAATATACCTAGAATATTACCATTTCAGCATATCCTTAATATAAAAACTACAAATGATACATTTTACTTTTTTTTTTCATAACCCAATGTGTAATTTCTACTTCCAGCACATCTCCATTTGGACTAGCCACATTGCAATTGCTCAACAGTCACATGTGGCTAGTGGCTATCATATGGGACACCAAAGTTGTACAGCCTTCAGGAAGATCCTATGAAGACCAAACAGTTACCAGATTGGTGGGGCCAACTGGTTCTTTTAATCCAACTCCTTCATGCAATGTCCAGTGCGCCCACTCCCAGACCTTTCTGTAGGCGCTGCCGCTGAATCAATACAGAGTCAAGATTGCAGTCTGCATGAGATAGAGTCCTAGCGGGGAAGAAGCCTCCACGGTCTGTGAGGTGAGCCTCCACTTCTGTCCCCGTGCTGGTGCACACACCCTTTGTCAGGTTCAACTTCAGACTTCAACATGTATGAGTGGTGTGTGTCATTTATGAAAATAGGAATGTAATAGTACCATTCCCTCATAACTATTTTGAGAATGGAATGTCATAATGTATGTAAACTGCTTTGGATGGTGTCTGGTACGAAGTAAGCATTATTTGATATTAGGTAATTATTGGGGAATAATAATCATATCATTAATTTTTGTCTCTGGCTTTTATTTTATTTATTTGTTCATTTATTTTGCCATGTCTTATGGTGTTGATTGTCTCTGGCTTTTAGCAGAGTGCCTGGCACATAGCAGATTCTCAGGAAACCATAGGTCTTCACATTAGAATCTTATGATGTCCTCAACAGTTGGCTCTCTAGCCACAGCCCGAACACTTCCAGGGAGTCCTATGTCAAAGACAGCACATTCCATATTTAGTTCGTTTTGCCTTATAGAATGGACCTTCTTATGTCAGGCTGAATCTGTCTTTCAGTAGCTTTTATCCACAATTGCCTTGGCCCTGCCCAGGGAAAGACAGTCTTCTCCTCTATATAACATTTTTCCAAATATTTAAGGACAGTCAGTCATCTGAGCTGTCTTCATAATCTCCTAGTTTCCAGTCTATATGTTCTCAGTTCCTTCAACTCCTCTCCTAACAGGTTTTTCAGCTCTGAGCTTTGTTTTTCAGTCTATTAGTGTCCTTTGTTTTTTTGTGACGAGGTTGCTCAGGCTGGAGTGCAGTGGCACAATTATGGCTCATTGCAGCCTCAAACTCCTGGGCTCAAAGGATTCCCACACCTCAGCTTCCTAAGTAGCTGGGACCACAGGCACATGCCACCACACCCAGCTAATTATTATATTTTTTTTTTGTAGAGATGGGAGTCTCACTGTATTGCCCAGGCTGATCTCAAACTCCTAGGCTCAAACAGGCCTCCTGCTTGGGCCTCCCAAAATTCTGGGATTACAGGCATGAGCCACTGCACCTGGCCTAGTGTCCCTCTTTAGATACAGCACACAGAACTATACTGGCCAGCACAGAAAACAGGGAACCATCATCATTTCCCTACCTCTGGATTGCAAAATGCCTTGCCTTTTTATCCAATCATTCCACAGTTGGAATGTAGCATGCTTGTGGCCCCATCTCTTACTTATACCATGACTTTTTAAAGAATAATGCAATATAAAATAATAATAAAACAATATTTACTCCAAAGAAATTTCATGTATTGTATTACTGAGTTATAATTATGTGCCATAAAATGCACAGATCTCAAGCATTAGTTAATAAGTGAATACACTCCTGCAACAATACACCAATCACAATATAGGACATCATCATCACCCTAGAAACTTCTCTCATGTCCCTTTCTAGTCAATCTCCTCTTCAAACTCCTAGAGGCAACCACTATTCTGATTTCTAGCCCTATAGATTCATTTTACAAAAATAAAAATTGTTTCTGACATTCATGTAAGTGGAAAAATACAGTATTGTAACTTTTTTATCTTAATGCAATACAATTTCATTCTTATTAAACATAATCATATTGCTTTCCATATTTCCTCATAGCTTCTTGTGAACATTTTGATCTTGGTTCTGCCAACCATATCTGCTAATTTCCCTAACTTTATGCCACCTACAGACTTAATAATTCCTTCTGTCCTTTATCCAACGTAAGACAAAACCAATGATAGAGTCCAGGGTACTTAACTAGAAACCTCCCTTCAATTTTCAAGCTTAGGAAATGAGAAGCATTGTGAAAGCGCCAGCCAAATGGGGGCACCTGGAGACAACACATGTGGATGGAGAGGGCTGTGTTCTGTTAGGATGCAGTGAAGAGGGAGGTGATGACAGGACATCCTGGTGGGATGTGTGCTAGGGAAGGGGAACGGCTCAGAAGAAGGTCTGAGAGTCACTTGCATAGAAATTACCAATGTGGAGGGAGGAAAAGAGCTCCCAAAGGGAAGAACCGAGGGCTGGGTCAGTCACCTACAAGAGAGGGCCTCAAAGGTTTCCAAGGTCATCTGAGGAGTCTTGAGTGAAAGCTGTTGTTTGGTCTGGTTTTATGTTTTGCTTTGCTTTGTTTGTTTTGATAAGTCCTAAGTGGAGTCTGGCAGCCTATAAGGCAGATGATATTTCTAGATTTAGAAGTAACTGAAATTGTGCAATCATGGAGAGACATAGTCCATTCCCTCACTCCCCCAACCTCGGAGCAGTGAGGCTTCGGGGACAGGCAGAGTACAGGCTGGGGGCAGGGGTCAGGGAGGGACGTTTGAAACACATCGATCTTCCCTTCCTTCAGGGGAGAACTCTGGTAAAGTCAAGGCCACCTTATCGAAATGTTCCTTACATTTTTACTTTTTGATTATTTTTGATTCAGCATTATAGGGCTTCTGCTTCTTTGACACACACGTGGGCTTAGAAATGCAGGTAGGCACCTGACCCACACCTGAGGAAGTGTGAACCTGGATCTGCCATCCCTGGCTGTGGGATTTGAGCTTGTGGCAGGCCTTATACTCACCTATAAATGGGCAAAGGTGAGTCAGAAATCTGTCAGAGTGTCAGAATCAGCCAGCCAGCATTTTAAAAAATATATGTGATGGGGTCTAGGAAACTATTTTATTTAGAAGCTAGAACTCCAGTACTGGTTCATAAACTGATATTTGGGAGTTACTGAACTGTAAAGTCTTTTACAGTCCTAATATTCATAAATACATGGTAGGATATCCTAGGTAACTCCATATGGAATTGATCCTTCCTGGTCCATGTAAAGGGGCTTGAGAAAACACGAAGGGATGGAGGTGAGAACAATGGGGACAGGGTATCCGACTATCAGGCATGGTTACAGGTTCTTGGTAGACTTCATTTTATGGAAACATCTATGATAAGGAAATGAAGAAATTAAAAAGGCATTCCAGTGGCCCATTTGGCATGTAATTCAGTGTAAGCAAGGTACTTATACCTCATCCACAGTGGACTGAACTGTAAACCTTTGAGCATGAGATAATTTAGGA
The DNA here is from genome assembly GCF_000001405.40 of Homo sapiens. NCBI lineage: Eukaryota > Metazoa > Chordata > Mammalia > Primates > Hominidae > Homo > Homo sapiens. Next base: position 70,685,045 of record NC_000014.9, read on the forward strand.
CTCTCAAGTATCATCCGAGCTGGCATTGAGCTTGCAGAAGGACTAAATCCTTTAGCTTCTTCTATTCCCCTTTCACTCCCTGTAACCAAACTACTTTTTGAGCCTCTAAGCCTCACTGTCTTAGCCTGAGTCTAAATCTACACCTTCTCAGGTTGACACCAGCATCTAGTTAAAAGAACCTGGGGTCTCTTTAGGACCCAGAAAAAGGGAGAGTAAAACAAAAGAGGAAAGGGAGAGTCTATTCAATAAGCTAAAACCCTCTTTGTCAATCATGTGGCTCATTTGGAGAAGAGAAACTGAGGCACAGAGCAATGGTGTATTCAAGGAACCATGCTGGACACAGCAGGCGACTCTTTAACCTGGCTCTCAGTCCTTCTGGGATTGGATTCTCTGCACAGAGACCTAAAAGTTTCCCTTCAGGACTGCTGAAGGTTGTTTGAATTGATTTCCTGCCTCCCCTGGTAAGTGGCAATAGGGGAATTTTTAATAAGACTATTAATAGAAATTATGCATTAGAGAATGTCTAGTGAATCACTAATACAAGAATTATGTCTGGTAATCAAAATTCATGCTGAATAGTGCTGATGTTATAGTGTGTGTGTGTGCGTGCGTGTGTGTACATGCATGCATGTGCGCGTACCCACGTGAGTCAGGGTCAAGAAGGTTAAATACGTCAAAGGCACATTGGTAATATGGTTTCCTCCTGCTATTGGTCCATATACAAAGATTTTATTCAAGAATGAGCCCACTAAAGTATAAAGTTAGTTTACAATTAGAATGTAATCAGGTTCTTAGCATCACTTGATGGCATTCTGTCCTGGTGTAAAGAGTTTTTAAATCTCAGCAGCTCACACATCTCCCCCAAGCTTAAATATATGCATGAATCACCCGGGAATCTTGTTATAATGCAGATTCTGATTCAGCAGGACTGGAGCAGAGCCCAAGGCTCTGCCTAACAAGATCCCAGGTGGTGCTATGCAGCTGGTCTGTGGACCACACTAAGCAGGAGGGGATAGAGTGGCCTGACTCCTGAGCACAGGCCAACAGCCTGCAGAGTCAGCTAATCCCCAGCCCTGTATCCAGATACTCCTTCTGACCATTCCTTTATCTAGCCACATATTGTTTATAAATAAACCACAGTATTCTTAAGTGTCGCTAAGGCTTTTGGCATGTCACCATTCCAAAAATCTTGAGGACCAAGGTAAGGGCTCCACACACCACTTTTGCCTCCAACCACCTACCCCCGACTAAACTCTAAGTCCTTCTTTGCACAACCCTAATCCGTCCCTTATAATCCATCCCCCCAACCCTACCATTTCATTCCCCATTTTCCTCCCTACAGAATAACCCAATCCTATAATAGAAAACATCTGTTGACTACTGTGTGCCAGAACTGTTTTTTGCTATCCTTATTGGGTTTGTAAATGTCACTTTATGAGGTACTTATTATTCTAACCTCTATATTACTGATGAGAGATTTGAGACTCAGAGGGATCAAATAAATTGCCCAGAGTCTTACAACTAATAAGTGGAAATACCAAGGTGTGAACCCAGGCTGTCCAACTCTGAAGCCCACATTCTTGGCCCACTGTGATGTTGGAAACTGTTTCCCAAGATGGTGAGCACTCCATTCTCCCCAGGATGTCAAGGGCTTGCACATCCTCTTCTCAGCCTAAATTGTATCTGGTACTAACCCACTCTGACTACTTTAATCTCTCCTTCACCTGGAATAAAACCACATCAGGTTCTGAATGTCCAGGATAAAAATCTGATTTAAATTTCAAGCATCCTCAGAACTTGAGAAGTTGGCCAAATTAATCTGTGAGATCCCCAGCCTCCCGTTCCTAAACCTCCCTGCTACCCTCTATGGGACCACCTTACAGCCCCCGCCTCCCACTCACTTCAAGCCCCTGTTCTCTACCCTTCCTCCCTTCCACATCAAAAGTGCCTTCAGCAAAAAATCTACAAATGATTAATAATACCTCCACACACTTGAGGTTTTGGGGGCAGTTTGCATTTTAAGCCTTATCACTATTCAAGGGAGAAAAGTCTCAGGGAGCTGAGGTCTGAAGAATAAATGGTTGTTGATTAGGCCCAAGCTGTAAAGGAAAGGAGGAGAAGAAGGAAGGATATTTCAGGCAGAAGGACCTATTCTTGCATATTGTAATATGCATATCATAATAAATGTTTGCTGATGAAGCAAAGAAAAGAAAAGAGGCATATTTAAGGGATTTCCCTGCAAAACCTCTGGCCTCCCTTCCTGCCTTTTATCCAACTCTAAGAAAAGACAGTTGGATTTTAAAAACCATAATATGTGTCTTCTCTCCTCCCCTGACCATATGAGTTGATTTTTCCTTTAAATAGTTAATCTAAAAGTAAATATAAAAATTCTACCAGTTACCACTTAAACAAAAGAAAAGCTATGATTTCCAACCAAAAGGTGCTTGTTTTAAGAGAATAAGGTGGAGGTGCTTCCTTTACCCTCCCACTGGCACATTTGGCTATTCAGGCCCCCAAACAGTTTCTCCGTCTGGAATTGCTGCATAATGATTGGGGTCTGGCCTCTGACCTCTGGAGCCCTATCAGGAATGGGAACCAGAATCTTGAGCTTTGCTGGGAAGGTCACATGTTGGCCTAGTTCATAACCTGGCAGCTCTACCCATTGTCTCTGTGCAGCTCAGTTTTCTTGCCTCACTTTTCAACCCCTTGACTTGTCTGAGTTATGGGAAGTTATGGATGCTCTTCTAAGAGCAAACAAGCAAGAAGACGGTAACAAAATCAGCTTCTCATTAAATTTCAGGCAGCTCAAGGGGTCTAAAATTGGCTGATGGCTTTGCACCTCTGAATAGAAGAGCATTCAATGGCTGGGTGCAGTGGCTCACGCCTGTAATCCCAGCACTTTGGGAGGCTGAAGCGGGCGGATCACCTGAGGTCAGGAGTTCAAGACCAGCCTGACCAACATGGAGAAACCCTGTCACTACTTAAAATACAAAATTAGCTGGGCGTGGTGGCACATGCCTGTAATCCCAATACTTTGGGAGGCTGAGGCAGGAGAATCGCTTGAACCCGGGAGGCGGAGGTTGCAGTGAGCCGAGATTGTGCCATTGCACTCCAGCCTGGGCAATAAGAGTAAAACTCCATCTCAAAAAAAAAGAGCATTCAAGGTGCACTTCTTTTCCTTGCCCTTGGCCTGTATTGTAAACTCTTTCCTCTGGCTACTAACTGGTGAGAGATCAGTGGGTTATGAACACTATCATATGCCTGTCATCAAGGATGCAAAAGTGGGGAAGACACATGGTCTCACTGGTGTGACAGCCATGTGCCTGTAATCCTAGTTACTTGGAAGGATAAGGCAAGTAGATTGCTTGAGCTCGGGTGTTTAAGACCAGTCTGGGCAACATAGTGAGACCCTCATCTAAAAAAAAAAATAGGAATAGTGCCAGCCAGGCACAGTGGCTCATGCCTGTAACCCCAACACTTTGGGAGGGTGAGTTAGGAGTATTTTTTTTTTTTTTGGGACGGAGTTTCGCTCTTGTTGCCCAGGCTGGAGTGCAATGGCACAATCTCGGCTCACTGCAACCTCTGCCTCCCAGGTTCAAGCAATTGTCCTGCCTCAGCCTTCCTGAGTAGCTGGGATTACAGACATGCACCACCACGCCCAGCTAATTTTGTATTTTTAGTAGAGACAGGGTTTCTCCATGTTGGTCAGGCTGGTCTCGAACTCCCGACCTCAGATGATCCACCTGCCTCAGCCTCCCAAAGTGCTGGGATTACAGGCATGAGCCACCGCGCCCAGCCAGAAAACATTTTTTTTTAATTAGCTGGGTGTGGTGCATGCCTGTAGTTCCAGCTACTCGGATGGCTGAGAGAAGGATTGCTTAAGCCCGGGAGGTCGAGGCTATAGTGAGCTGTGCTCGGCCTGGGCGACAAAGTGAGACCCTGTCTCAAAAAAAGAATAGTGTAGACCAGACCAGAACAGAATGGAATGTAGAAGACTAAGGAAGAGGAACCTGGGATGCACTGGGAAGCTGTGATCATAGGTATAGGCCAATAATAGGAGCTGGAGCAAATAGTTCTTTATCATCTACTGAGACATCCCATGATCTTGAGGTGGGAACCAAAACCGTTTGACTGGTAAGGGCCTACTCAAAAGAACAAAGAGCAAGATGGGGGTGTTAGTATGGGTGTTCAGAGGGGAAATTTTGAGCTTTTACCTAGGCAAATGTGGGATAAGAGTATGGTAAGTGTTTAAGTGAAGTCTTTTAACCAGTATAGCATCTTGCTAAAAATATAAAAGAAAGGTTCATCCACAAAATATTTGGGCAGTGACCTGAATAAGAATTAGCTTATTCTAAGAACAACCAACTTGAATTTTTAAAAGGTAATCTCTGGCTCTTCAGCCAAGGGTTGAGCATCTAATTATTAGTTTACATGTTTGTCTGTCACATTAGACAAAAGTTCAAGGGCAGGGACCATGTGTCTTCTTTTTTTTGGAGATGGGGTCTCACTATGTTGCACAGGCTGGTCTTGAACTCCTGAGCTCAAGCAATCCTCCTGCCTCAGCCTCCCAAGCAGCTGAGATTACAGGCACATGCTATTAGGCCCAGTAAGACCATGTGTCTTACTCATTTTTGCATCCTTGGTGATAGGCATATAATAGTGTTCATAACCCACTGAGGTCTCAACAGTGAACAGCCAGGGGAAAGAGTTTACAATAGGCCCAGAGCAGTAGCTCATGTCTGTAATCCCAGCATTTTTGGAGGGCAAGGTGGAAGGATCACTCGAGCCCAGGGATTCAAGATCAGGCTGGGAAACATGGTGAAACCCCATCTCTACTAAAAATTAAAAAAAATAGCTGGCCATGGTGGTATATGCTGGTAGTCCCAGCTACTCAGGAGGCTGAGGTGGGAGGATTGCTTGAGCCTGGGATGTTGACGCTACAGTGAGCTGTGATTGCACCACTGCACTCCAGCCTTGGCAACAGAGTGAGCCCCTGTGTCACAAAAAAGAAAAGAGTTTCAGTAAAAATTAAGGGCAAAGAAAATAAGTTGAATAGCTAGAGCCATTTCGGCTTCACCTACTCCTGCACAAAGCTTAAGACAAGGGCAGACCTATGCCCTAAAGTCGCCCTAATGAAAACCTCTCCTTTCCTCAGCCTCCACTGCTCTCATTTTGCATTTCACCCATCTCATTATTGTCTAAGCATCCCAGCTTTTGCATCATAAAGCAAAATCCCTAAGTGAGCTGTAATTCTGACATAGTTTGTTCACCAAGTCTCAATTGGGAAAAAAAACAACTATATGGTATAAGAATCTTCCTCCAAGACACCCAAACAGCATCATCAGCAAGCCCGCATCACTCATTCGGGGGCCATTCAGGAAATATGGTCTTGTCAGGTTTACAATCATGAGATCTCTAAGTCTGGAGAAGAGGCTTTATTTCTGGTACAGGTTTACAGCCTGCAGGGTGGCCAACCTGACAAGCTGGAAAGTAGCCTTTGGCAGAGACTGTTAGCAGGCCTTCAAGGGAGAAGAAGTTGGAACAGAAATTTATGCTGAAGGGTAAATTTGGCTGAGTGTATATATTCAACAAGTAATGGGAGGAACTATAAATATTCATGAAGGGGGTCCTGATGCATGCATACTGAACATGCATTTTACATGTGTCCCATGTTCATTTTGGGGTGGAGACTTACCATTTAAATGCACTGCAATTAAGCCCTATATGTCCAAAAGTTGAAGCAGGGACACGATGTCACACAAGTGCACAGGCTCTGTAAATGCCAGAACCAGTCCATGGTGAGTGGGCACTTATCAGGAGAAAGTTACTGAAATCAGCCTCTTGTTCAATCAAAGCTGTAGTTTTGGCTTGTGGAACAGGTCGGTCCATTAGCATCTGGCAGTGGACAAGCTACAATTGTTTCAATATTGCTTATCCAGAGGCCAGTGCTTGATTACTAGAGAAGAAAACCCTTGTGGCAGTTGGGATATAGTTTATTCTTTAAATGTAGGGGTGAATGACTTAATCTTGCCTGGCATGGCCTTAGGTCCTGTTTATAACGTGGTATCTATTTTTTTTTTTTTTTTTTTTTTTTTTGCGATTGAGTCTCACTCTGTCACCCAGGCTAGAGTGCAATGGCACAATCTTGACTCACTGCAACCTCTCTGCCTCCTGGGTTCAAGCAATTCCCCTGCCTCAGCCTCCCGAGTAGCTGGAATTACAGGTGCGTGCCACCACGCCTGGCTAATTTTGTATTTTTAGTAGAGACGGGGTTTCACCATGTTGGCCAGGCTGGTCTCAAACTCCTGACCTTAGGTGATCCACCCACCTCAGCCTCCCAAAGTGCTGGGCTTATAGACGTAAGCCACTGTACCTGGCCTGTAACTTGATATCTTATTACCACAATGGATCTGTTCTATCAGTCTTATGGTCTCTTGTTTTTTTTCTTTTTTTTTTTTTTTTTTTGAGATGGAGTCTCACTCTGTTGCCCAGGCTGGAGGGCAGTGGTGCGATCTCAGCTCACTGCAAGCTCCGCCCCCCGGGTTCACACCATTCTCCTGCCTCAGCCTCCCAAGTAGCTGGGACTACAGGTGCCCACCACCATGCCCGGCTAATTCTTTTGTATTTTTTAGTAGAGACAGGGTTTCATCGTGTTAGCCAGGCTGGTCTCGATCTCCTGACCTCATGATCCGCCCGCCTCGGCCTCCCAAAGTGCTGGGATTACAGGCATGAGCCACCACGCCCGGCCATGGTCTCTATTTTAACATTAGTGTTGGTCAGTGTCTAAACTGCAAAAGGGAGGGCGTACAAGGAGGCGTGTCTGACCTCCCATCCCATCCTGGCTGGGAACTCAGTTTTTAAGGTTTCTCTAGGGTTCCCTTGGCCAAGAGGGGATCTGTTCATATGGTTGAGGGGCTTAGGACTTTTTTTTTTTAGTTTTCAGTCTTAAGGGCCATGATGACCAGTTCGGGAGCATCAAAGGGAGCATTGGGGCATTCACGTCATTAGCTTGAAGGAGCAACTCCCAAGCTGGTTTCAAGATGGCTGGCAGGCCCTGTGTTGTCACAAAAGAGGGATTCCCTTTGTCCAAAGCTAGGAGAGCTCAAATTCTCTACAGCTCCCCCCATCAGACAGATGCCCCAAAAGAGCTCGTGAAAGGAGAATGACCTGGTGGCACCAAAAATACAGACAGGCTCCCTTCCCAAGAACTCTCCCAGTGCCTCTGTCGTGCATACAGCCCTGGGGCTAATCACGAAGTTTCGTTTGTTTTCTGAAAAGGCAACTCACAAGAAACATGAGAGTAAAGGCAACTAGGAACAAGGAAACGAAACTGCTGGTGTCGCCTTCCCGCGCTCCTCATTCTGTTGACTCACTCCTTGGCCTCCGAGATGAGCATCTCCAGCTCAGAAGTGAGGCCTGTTGACGGAAGCGTGATGAGCTTTCCTAGCCCAGGCCTGCTAGTCTAGCTGGAAGGCATCCTCTCTGTCATCATGCCATTTTAGAAAAATGCAATTCACCTATCTCTCTTGATGTATAGGAGGCTCCATTTGAAAAAATGAGGACTCTGATGGAGCCAAAGTCCACAGATGTAAATATCTCCGATAACAAAACTTTTTTTTTTTTTTGAGATGGAATCTCCCTCTATTGCCCAGGCTGGAGTGCAATGGCACGATCTTGGCTCCCTGCAACCTACTCTTCCCAGGTTCAAGTGATTCTCCTGCCTCAGCCTCCCAAGTAGCTGGGATTACAGGCATGTACCATCACGCCTGGCTAATTTTTGTATTTTTAGTAAAGATGAGGTTTTGCCATGTTGGCCAGGCTGGTCTTGAACTCCTGACTTCAGGTGATCTGCCTGCCTCGGCCTCCCAAAGTGCTGGGATTACAGGCATGAGCCACTGCGCCCGGCCATAGTTTTTGTATTTTTAGTAGAGACGGGGTTTCACCATGTTGGCCAGGCTGGTCTCGAACTCCTGACCTCAGGTGATCTGCCCACCTCGGCCTCCCAAAGTGCTGGGATTTCAGGCGTGAGCCACCACACCTGGCCAACAAGACATTTTTCTTGCCCAAATTTCACAGACCTTTAGAGCTTGAAAGAAGCTCATCTAATTGGACCCCCTTTAAAGAGACTAAGGCCCATGGTGACAGGGCTGGGACACAAACCGATTTTTTGGAGACTCCAAGTTCAGTACTTCTTAATGGTTCTTGGTTCTTCCATGCCCTTTTAGGTTGGCAACTTGTTCCTGGGTTGGCAACTCAATCCTGGGACCCCTAAATAGGCACCCCAAAACTAAAAAGGGAAAGAAGATGTGACTTTCGGAGACCACCGTCAGGTCACTAAATTGAAAGACAGCTGCAGCCACCATCAAAATCCCTCATGCTTCTTGAGAGCTTCAGAGCTTCCTGACTCCAGTAGCCATGGCTGTGACCCCAGGGAGTCCTCTAAACCTCAGGTCTCCATGGAAATGGGGGTGACCTCTGAGAGTGTTTGACACACATGTTTTGGAAGGACCGGGTGGCAGGAAGAAGGATTGTGTACCAACTTACACCTTGGGGGCCTGGAATTGGAATTGATGTCACTGCTAGCAGGCCAAAGCAGTAGTTGAGCAAATTCTGTCAGTTCTAACTTCAAAATATATCTGGAATCTGATTACTTCTACCACTCCTACTACCACCCCACTCCAAGACATAACTCTAGCTCCCCTAGCATTACCCTCTAACTGGATTCACTACTTCTGTTCTTGACCCCTGCACTCTATTCCAGAGCGATCCTGTTAAACCTGATTCAGATCATGTCACTCCTCTGCTTAAAATCCTCCAATGGCTTCCCCCTCACTCATGGTAAAAGCTAAAGTACTTTACTATGAACTACAGGGTCCAACATCATTGGGTCCTATAATACTCTGACCTGCTCTCTCCATCTGCTTCAGCGATAACTGGCCTCTCTGTGATTCCTTAATGGTGCCAAGCAGGCTCCCACCTCAGGGCCTTTGCACTGGCTGTTCCCATTACCTGAAATTATCTTTCCCCACCCTAACCCCCACCCCCCAGACAACATGACTAGCTCCATCACTTCTTTCAAGGTCTTTAATCAAAAGATACCTTCTTAGTAAGGCTCTCCCTGGCTACCCCATTTAAAATGTTAACATTCACTTACCTGGCTGACATGTCACATACCTCTTCCCACTTTATGCCTTCTCCTTAGCACTTGCCAGTAACATATATTTTACTTGTTTATCTTTATTTACTGTCTTTCTCTCCTACTAGAATGCAAATATGCTATATCTCCAGCAACTAGTAGGTTGGCACATAGTAGGTATTCAATTAATATCTGTTAAATGAAAGAATAAATGAACGGATGGTTTGGGTGCTTAAACCCATGACATGGTAGCACTGGCCTGTTCTCCAGCTGGGAATTAGGAGTCAGGCCTCCTGAAGGAACAACATTTGCGTGTCCACACCTCCGATGGTTTACAACCCTGTTTCCCCCAGTGGACAAATGAATGGAGATGCATTCCTCACACTCTCATCGCTCCAGCCTGTGCCTTCTGTGCTACCCTTCCCCTCCCAAGCCCACACTACCTCAGGGATCTTCCTACCAACTCCAGTGAGGTTTATCTTGAATAAAGAGCAATTGTTCAACTGGCAGCCCTTACTATGTATCAGCCACTATGCTAAGCATTTTACATAGAATATTTTATTCAATTCTTATGAGACATGTAATATTATCCCCATTTTTCACAAGAGAAAATTGAGGCTCAGAGACTGCATTGAACACCTAATTGGGTGATTTTCTCTTCTCTGAGAACTTTCACCTACCCAAAAAGATGGGCCCTTGCTGGCCTGTTGGTACCCAGCAACACCACCCTCCACTCCTCAGGCCAGCCCTGACTGATTGGGCCAATGTAGAAACCTGATTCTAGTGGGGCCAGTCAGTATCATTTTCCCAGAAATATGGATTTGGATACAGAGATATTTGTCCTCCCTGTTAGCCTCTTCATAAAGGTGGGACTGGAACATCAGTGTCTGGTCATAGGCACCCTGAGGCCAATCAAGAAAGAAGAAGGCCGGGTGAGGTGGCTTACACCTGTAATCCCAGCACTTTGGGAGGCCGAGATGGGCGGATCACAAGGTCAGGAGATCAAGACCATCCTGCCCAACGTGGTGAAACCCCGTCTCTACAAAAAATACAAAAAATTAGCCAGATGTGGCGGTGCACACCTGTAGTTCCAGCTACTCGGGAGGCTGAGGCAGGAGAATTGCTTGAACCCAGGAGGCAGAGGCTGCAGTGAGCCAAGATTGCGCCATTGCACTCCAGCCTGGGCGACAGAACGAGACTCCGTCTCAAAAAAAAAAAAAAAAAAAAAAAAGATAAACCAAGTGTCTTTCAATTGTTTGTAACCAAAAGAGCTTGACTCAGAGAAGCTAAAAAAACTTACCTAACACCACGTAACTTAAGAAGGATGAAGCTGGGACTCTAACGCCTGCACATTCCTATAACTGCCAAACCACTCAGACTTTGTCTTCTTCCTAGAGGTTGGCAGGGCAGAGGTGGAGCTTCCCCAGCAGATCGCACTGTCTCATTTCCCCTCCTTTCACGCCAGTACATTTTCCCAAGAAAAGCCAAGGTCAGAATCACCTCCAGGGCAGCCTCAAATGGGAAAAGAAGTTGACGACAGGAATGTATAGGAAGTAGAGAAGGGCAGCACCATTTTGGTGGGTAGGGATCAGGCAATGTGGGGTCAGTTTATGGTTTTACTGAGTCTTGATTCTTTTGGGGAGCAGGTGGAGCCAGCCCCTTCTCTCCATGGAGACACAGCCAGGCAGATGGGTTAGGTGAGCAAGTCACAGGCCAGGAAGAAGTGTGGGGACAGCTTAGCTTTTGAAGTGGGGACTTTGCCCATCAGGCTTCCAGGCCCAAATAAGTCCCCTCATCAAGGAAACTGTGTACCCCTCAGGCAGGCTTGCTCCAAAGATGCAGTCAAGCCAGGCAAAGACCAAGGAAAAGAGGGTCAAAGATCTCTCTGGGCAAATCCATTAGTGACAGCTGATCCCTTGGAGCCACTTGAAGTCTGCAGCTCCTGAAGCTCTGTTTATTAACTCTGTTTATTTCTCCAATTTGTCAAGTACTGTCTGCAAGCTCCAGCTTCCCTCATAAGTGCTCAGCTTCTATTCTGCCTCGCAGGCTTCACCAATTTGATTAGCATACTCTGCACTCCATCTTTCAAGTCGTTAATGAAAATACTGATGAATACTGGGAGTTATTCAGGTCCCTGGGAGGCCTCTCCTCCATCCCTTCATCTTTTTGCCTGGCAAGTAAACTGGAAGGGATGAATCCTCTTTTCAGATAGTCTTTGCCCACTGTTCAAGAGCTTTTGTCTAATCTTTTCATTCATTCATTTATTCAATCACTCATTTATTCATTTGCTAGGGCTAGAGGCTTAGCACAGTCCCTGGCACATGGAAAATGCTAAACAAATGCAAGCTCTTAGTGTTATGAGGTGCTGTGGAGAAACAGAGATGCACAGGATAGACCCCAGCCCTGAGCAGTAAGAATGGGAATAAGAATTACAGCTGCCAATTTTGAAATACTTGCCAGATACTGGGCTACGTACCGTCCAGACAATATCCAGCCCAGGCCAGGTATCATCCACCCTACAGAGGCATTTGTTGGTAATGATTAAAAGGGAGGATTCTGGCCAGGCGTGGTGGCTCACGCCTCTAATTCCAGCACTTTGGGAAGCCGAGGTGGGCAGATCACTTGAGGTCAGGAGTTTGAGACCAGCCTGGCCAAATGGTGAAACCCCATCTCTACAAAAATTAGCCAGGCATGGTGGCGGGTGCCTGTAGTCCCAGCTACTCGGGAGGCTGAGGCAGGAGAATTGCTTGAACCTGGGAGGCAGAGGTTGCAGTGAGCTGAGGTAGTGCCACTGCACTCCAGCCTGGGCAATAGAGTGAGACTCAGTTAAAAAAAAAAAAAAAAGTGAGGATTCTAAAGTCAAAATTCTTATTCTAGCTTTCCACTGACTGGCTTCTTTGCCTTAGATTCTCCCTCCGTACAGTAAGGGTACTATTAGTTATTTCATAGGGTTACTGTGAGGATTTAAATTATTAAATAATACAGAATTGGTACTTGGAGCACTGCCCAGCATATAATATGCACTGAACAAATGCTGGCAATTATTATTATTATTTGATGTAATACAATTACCCTTTATGAGGTAAGTGTTATTATCAGTGTTTTACCAACAAGAAAGCTGAAGTTTAGGAAGCCTGAGTAATTTGCCTAAAGTCCTACAACCAAATAATGGAACTCGGGTCCAAACCCAAATCTGATTCCAAATTCCATTTGCTTTATTACTGTATGCTAGAAAGGAAGAAAACATGCATACATACATACATAATTATTTTTACAAGACAGAAAAGCAAATGAGACTGTAGAGCACAGAATATTTTCATGGCGCATAGTAGATTCTCAATGAATCCAGCCAAATAATGATGATGTTGATGATGTCAGTAATGATGATGACAAAATTCTAAAGTGCCATACTGAAGTTTTAAAAAATTGTTTTAAGATGTCACAGGACAGAGAGAGATCATTTATGAAGAGAGGAATAGTTGGAGACTTTCCTGGAAAAGGTGGCATTTGCAAAGGCCTTAAAGGATGACCATGAGTTGGACACAAGGAGAGAAGAGAAAAAGGCACCCGGGTAGAGGAAACTGCAGGAGCAAAGGCTTACAGACATGAATGCTTAGGGTGTGTGTGAAAAGAAAGAGCAAGAAGTTCCACTGGACAGTACGTGTTATATGAAAGAAAATAGTTGGGACTGAGCTGGAAAGGAAGGAGACACACCCTTATTGACACATGAGGCCTTGCCCAAAAGACTGGTCAAAGCAGAGAGATTTCTCACACTTCAGAGTCTTCTGAAACTCACATTGGAGAAACAGCCATATGAGGGATTTGGAGATGAGGAATGGGGTTTCTTCAATATTCAGGCAAGAGTAAGTACCACAATGCTTATGCAATAAAGCTTCAGTTTGAGGTGAGGGTCAGTTTGAGGTGAGGGCTAGGCAGGGCTGACATTCAGCCAACACATGTGTATCAATATAGGTTGTTGAAAATATTAAACTGCTTTTCCTCCAGGCTGGTAAATGGCACTACCCTGAACCACCCAAGGCCCCTTCCCCTGGACTCCAGGACCTCCTCGACATCCTTGCATAAAAACATTAATTTCTGGCATTATTTTGATAATCACCCCTGGAGCTAGGGGACTTGGCTTGAGGATACTTTTGCATAGCATTTTACTTAACATTGAAAAACACAACAGTTTTATCAATAAATGGGTTGCAGAATGTAAAAGCAAACAGACCAACCGCTACACTCTGGCCTCAGATATTCCTCAAGCTAGATCCTTCTGGGGAACTAACTCTTTTCCTGCTGAGTCACTGTGGCTGCAGCCCTGCCCTTCCATGTGACTGTGTCATTTGGCATTATGGTTCCTCCTGAGCCCAAGGGAACTACAAAGGTCTGTATCAGGACACTGGGCATTGCCACTGTGCTAGGTGCACACACCTGACTGATCGTCTTGTGGGCTCCCGCATTTCCTGTTGCTCCAGGCATCAGATATATCCCTGGGATCCCTCCATTAGCTTGGCAATGCTATGGAAGTTGCCAGAAAAAGAATCCTAAGGAATTGGTTCTTGGCAAATCCTAAGGAATTTGGCTCAGGCATTTGTCTTCCTAATGAACTGGTGGGGAGGTAGCTGTGTTGGTACATCATCTCCAAGGCAGGATCCTGCCCTCTGAAGCTTGAGGTGAGAGCGGGGACATGGGGGGTGGTGGGGAAGCTTGGGACCTGCTCTTCCCTCTGCCATGAATTTTCTCTTTCTGCCCAAAGCAATGGCTTCTCTTAGCCCTGCATTTCAATTTGATTGCTCTCAGTCCCCACGGTCACCTTCCCCCACCCACAGCTCTTCACAAAAGACAGCCAAGAACAGGGAGGAAGGGATCCTGAGGCAGAGTCCCTTTGAGCCCAATTGAGGCTGGGGTCCCCGGGCAAATCTGCACCCTGTGCAACTCCTGGGACTGCAGATGTGAGTGATGCCCCAGGATGAACGGTGCCCCAAAAGCCTTGAGCGGGGGAACCCTGTGTGCCATCTGCCACTTCTCCCTTGGGAAGATAGCCCCACCACTGAGCCAGGGAGCACCAGGAGGAGGTCCTGGATCTCTAACATCTGTCATCCTGCTGGGTAATGATACTGTGTCTTTCATAAAAGTCAGAACTAGCCTGGGCAACATGGAGAAACCTCATCTCTACAAAAAAAAAAAAAAAGCTGGGCATGGCAGTCATGTACCTATCAGTGCCAACTACTTAGGAGGCTGAGGTGTGAGGATCGTTTGAGCCAGGAGGCAGAGACTGCAGTGAGCTATGATGACACCACTGCACTCCAGTCTAGGAGACAGAGTGAGTCCCTGTCAAAAAAATAAAAATTAAAAAGAAAAGCTTTCCATCCCTCCCTTTTAGAGAAAGCAAAGAAGACACATAGAAGACGGTAATTCACACACCTACAGGTGTGGCTGTGGTCACAGGCTTTGCCCAGGGACCTTTCCTGGGAGGGGAAAGAAAAGCCTATGAATTGCATTGAGGACCAGAACAAGGGCACAGGATATGGAGGGAGGTGACAACGAAATGGTTTTTATTGGCAATCAGTGCTTCACACACTGCGGTCCCTCCTACCAGTCCGCTAGCAGGTTCCTAGGGAAGCAACACGTCTTCTATTTGGCCATGCACACACCCCCACACCCCTCTACAGCAGGGTGCACTTTCTGTTCTCCTGCATGGCTGGCTTGATGCTCACCCTGCAGCCCAGTGACAGGAGGAATGACATCACGCCTGCCTGTGCAGAACCTACCTTCCATTCCCTATCTCAACTGTGCTCTTCTTCTCCACAGTGGCTCCCAAAGTCTCAAGCCCACTGTGCTGATTTGAGCATTTGGCTCAGCCTTTTCTGGTCATCACCAACGTTCACCTGGCCATGCTGATGGCAGCACGCATGGATCTGGCCATTCCCACAGCCTGGTCACCCCATGGTGGCCCTTGATTGAGCTTGCCATGGCACGGAAGGGGGCCTCTCCTACTCACCGATCTCCTTATTGAGGTACAGCACATTCATTTGTATTCATATGGTAGTAATACCTAATTTTTATAAAACTCCTCAAGTGCCAGGCACTGTCCAAAGTATTTACATACATTACTCATTTAATCCTCACAATCACATGATATATACTGTTAGCCCCAATTTACAGATTGAGGAAACTTGCCCATGGAGACTTTTGTTAACATATTCAAAGTTGCATGTAAGGAACAGGGCCCAGATTTCAACCCAAGCTACTAAGTTCCCAAGTGCATGTGTGTTCCAAAACATCATGCCATGAGGCTGCTGAAGATACACATGACTGGTATCCAAATCCTTCCTAGGAATAGGCAGTGATGCTATGGGTGGAGAAGCATGGAGGAGGCAGATCCTGGAAAGAGGGTGAGCAAAGGGCACAGAAAGGGGACACTGGGAGTCAGAAGCCAAAGGGGAACTTGGACTTCCCTCCGTTCTCCAAGGCCTGGCTCTCTTTGAAGATAGTGTGGGATGAGAGAGAGAACAGAATACTAAAGAACAGAATGAGAGCAGGTGAGCAGTGGGCCCAGAGGAGAGGAATGCACACAGGCTGAAGGGAGAGAAGAGACAAAATGGACATAGCACGTCTCACAAGCCAATGGGAGGAGCTGGGAACCCAGCATTAGCTGGAAGGTGCTCACCTTCCCTCTTGATGGTTGACTCAGTGCCGACACAGACTTTAGCTGTCAGCCTGAAAGCAATCAGCTCATCATTGCAGCCTCTTTATTGTCTAAATTTTTCTGAAAGCATGAGAAGCCACTGGCCTTTCAACAGGGCTACCGAGGACCTGGGGAAGAGAAGGGCAGGGAAGCAGAGACAGAGGCCAAACACAAGTGCTTCTGCCAGCAGGGTTCAGAGCACATCTGGCAACCCCAGCTCCCAGCCCTGAAGCAGGCACCAGGCTACAAGGACAGACATAGACCAGGGACAAGGAAAAGGAAGGGCCAGCCCCAAAGCCCTTGGGATGCCTTGTCAACAGGCCAGTGTCCTTTGGAAAACACTCCAAAGGAAACAACAAATGTGAGACAAAGGATTTCCTTCCTCTTCCCTCATGTCGGAAATTCCCTGAGTTTCTTTCCTGGACCACTTGTCTGTCTCTATAACAATCCTACACACTGGTCAAAGTTTTTAAGGCCAAAAGTTTTAAAGGAAATGGAAAGAGAAGTAAGATTGAAAAGATGTGTCAGAGTCTGTTGCTGTCACTGTGGGAGCTCACTCTTTCTTGTCACAGTGAACAAAGCTGAGGAAACCAAGATTTTTCCATGCATTTGCTGGGGTTGGGACCCATGGCCTAGAACTAGGGGTCAGCGGAAAACAGAGCATGCCCATTAGACAAAGGGGTTAGCGAGAAGGAAGATAGAAGCAGATGCCAATGGGGCAGGGAGCTGTAGGGAAAAGAGGGGGAAGAGGGAGGGATGGGGGGAAAAGGAGGAAGAAGTGGAGGAGGAGGGGATGAGGAGGAGAAGGAGGAACAAGAGGAAGAGGGGAAAGGAGGAAGAGGAGGGGGGTGAGAAGAAAGAGGAAGGAGGAGGAAGAGGAGGAGGAGGAAGAGGAGGAGGAGGAAGAGGAGGAGGAAGGGGAGGAGGAGGAAGGGGAGGAGGAGGAAGGGGAGGAAGAGGGGATGCACATGGAGAAGAGAAATCACCACTGCCTTGTCTGCCTTCACTTCTCCCTGCCTCTGGCATCCTCTACCTGCTGTCAGTCAAGTTCTTGCCACTGGCACTTAACTTGTCTTCCCTTTATGGACCTCAGCCATCCACCCCTCCAGGTCCTTCCTGCCTCTCACCTGGACCAGTCTGTGGCTTCCAATAATAGTCTTCTTAGCTTCAGTTTCTCCCATCTCCAGCTCATTCCTCTCACCACTCCAGGTTTAGCTTCCTAAAATATTATTTTCACGACATTATTCTCTATTATTTTTCATAACTCCCTCTTTAACTTCCATTTCCCAATTTGGTGTAATGGAAGGAGCCCGAGTTTTTCATAGACGGGTCCTCAAGGGTTCTCAGCCTCGGCACAGTTGATATTTGGGGCCAGATAATTCCTCACTGTGAGACCTGTCCTGTGCATATTTACATGTTCAGCAGCATTCCTGCTACCCTTGAGTGCATCCCTCCCCACTCCTACTTGTGACAACCAAAAATTTCTCAACAGTGCCACATGTCTCCTGGGTGACAAAGTTGCCTCTGGTTAAGAACCACTGACCTAGATTCAACTCCTGACTCTGTCACCTACTGACAGAGCTCCTTTGGGTAAATGACATAACTTCTCTGAAGCCTAGTTTCCTCAACATTAACACAGGGCTAATAATGCCTACCTTACAGAGCCATTGGGAGAATTAGATAAAATAATTCTAATATGTAACACAGACCTAACACAATACCTAGCACATGATAATAGCACAATGGGATGGGGCCCATTGTGTACAGTACAAACCGGAGATTCTACCATGGTTTAGCCCCATCCTAGATATATTAGAATAGCCATTTACTTGTTATTATAAGGAACAAAATAATAGTGGATTAAACAAGTAATAGTCCACATAAAATCAGTCCTGGCTGATAGAGTGCCCACGTGGTGTCTGGTGTACAGGCTCTTTCCAGCTTCATGTTCTGCCAACCTCAACACAAGGTTTCCATCCTATGGTCTAAGATGGCTGTTCCAGCTCCCACCACCACATGTCTGCCCTTCCAGGCAGCAAGAAGGAAAGAAGGGTGGAAGGGGAGAATATGCCTCTTTCCTTATGTGGGTACCATTGCGGTGCTGTACACATCACTTCCACTCACATTCTATTGGCCAGAGCCTAGTCACATGATCACACCCAACTACAAAGGAGACTGCGAAATATATACATATATTTATATATATATCCATAGCTATATTATATATATATATCTCCATGGAGATATATATATATATATATATCCATAGCTTCCACCCAGACCTCTTCTAAACAGCTTGTCCAAAGCACTAACAGAGCCAGCCATGGTGGTGTGCACCTGTAATCCTAGCTTCTCAGGAGGCTGAGCAGGGAGGATTGTTTGAGGTTAGGAAGTCAAGTTTGCAGTGCACTGTGATCATGCCAGTGTGGACTCCAGACTGGGCAACATAGTGAGACCCCATCTCAAAAAAAAAAAAAGTAATAACAGGTCTATTTGGTTATCCTCCTAGTACCATCACTTCAATATGCTCTAACCATATATATATATATATATATATATATATATATATATATATAGCTTATATATATATAGTTTTTATATATATATATAGCTTATATATATATATAGTTTATATATATATATATATATATATTTTTTTTTTTTTTGAGAAACAGAGTCTTGATCTGTCACCCAGGCTGGAGTGCAGTGGTACCATCCTCCCACCTCAAGTGATCCTCCTACTTCAGCCTCCCAAGCAACTGGAACTACAGGCATGCACCACCATGCCTGGCTAATTTTTTTCTTCTCTTTTTTCTTTTGTAGAGAAAGAGTCTTGCTGTGTTGCCCAGGCTGGTCTCAAACTCCTGGGCTCAAGAAATCCTCCCGCCTCAGCCTCCCAAAGTGTTGGGATTACAGGTATGAGCCATTGCACCTGGCCCAGAAATATCTTTAGTTATGTGGCAAAGTGCCCAGCTGAACCTTCTGTTATCACAGATCAGAGAACAAATATTGGGAAATGTTAGGTACTGAATGTTTGTATCCCCACTAAAATTCATATGTTGCTGGCATTTGGAGATAGGACCTTTGGGAATTAATTATTGTCAGATGAGGTCATGAGGGTGAAACCCTTCTCTGATAGGATTAGTGTCCTTATAAGAAGAGACATCTGCTGGACTCAGTGGCTCATGCCTGCAATCCCAGCACTTTGGGAGGCTGAGGCAGGCAGATTGCTTGAAGTCATGAGTTCCAGACCAGCCTGGGCAACATGGCAAAACCCCATCTCTACAAAAAATACAAAAATTTGTCAGGCATGGTGTCACATATATGTAGTCCCAGCTACTCAGGAGGCTGAGGTGGGAGGATCGTTTGAGCCCAGGAGGCAGAGGTTGCAATAAGCTGAGATTGCGCCACTGCACTCCAGCCTGGGCGATAGAGCCAGACCTTGTCTTAAAAAATAAAAATAAAGAAAGAAGACACATCACTCACTCTCCATCCACTATGTGAGGACGCAGAGAGAAGGCAGTCATCTACAAGCCAAGAAGAGAGCCTTCATCAGAAACGGACCCTGCTACTCCTTGATCTGGGACTTCCAGTCTCCAGAACTGAGAAAAACATACACTTCTGGTGTTTAAGCCACCCAGTTTGTGGTATTGTGTTATGGCAGCCCAAGCAGATAGATAAAGATTCTACCTCCAAACAGTCACATTCTGCGGAACAGGAGGTTCTGACTTCAACCTATAAATTTGTAGGGGGGACACAATTTAGCCATAATAAGCATACTATAGATGCCCAGGAAATACTTCTTATCTATCTGATTAAAAGACTCAGAAAGAGAAAGGCTAATCATACCGTTAACTAACTCCTGTGCACAGGGCCACTCAGCAATGTTTTGACATGTTACTCCTCCTCTTGCTTCCCCTTAGAACTCAATATTCTCTTTGGCTGTTAAGACCACTCTCTCTAAGTTCTTTTCCTTCTTCTCAGGCCACTCCTTCATCTCCTGAGTTCCTCTACCTCCGGCCATCCTTTAAAAGTCAGCATTCTATAGTCTTATTCTCCTCACTCTAAGCTCTTTCCACGGTGATCTCATGGACTCCACTGCTGCAATCATCGTTTGCATCTGATGGTTCTCAAATCCATAGCTTCCACTCACACCTCTTCTAAACAGCTTGTCCAAAGCACTAACAGAGCCAGCCATGGTGGTGTGCACCTATAATCCTAGCTTCTCAGGAGGCTGAGCAGGGAGGATTGTTTGAGGTTAGGAGGTCAAGGTTGCAGTGCACTATGATCATGCCTGTCAATAGTCACTGGTCTCCAGACTGGGCAACATAGTGAGACCCCACCTCAAAAAAAAAAGCACTAACAGGTCTATTTGGTTATCCTCCTAGTATCATCACTTCAATATGCTCTAAACTGGATAATTTGTCAATCCCCTACATCTTCTCCACCATGATTCACTCTCCTCCTCAATACACACACACATACACACACACACACACACATTGTTCCTTCTCTTAAGCTCATCTCAGTGAACCATATCACCATCTCCCCAGAACTAAAGTCTTCCTAAATTCCTATATTCAGTCCCCAAATCCCATCCAGTTTGACTTCTTAATACCTTTTTCCATCCCCTCTTCTACCAGTTTATTTTGGGCTGCTGTCATCTCTCATTTAGATTACAAAAACAATATTCTTTCTAATCCACCTGCCTTTAACCCACTCTTTTCCCCTCAATCAAAGTGATTTTCTAAAACATAAACACAATGCTACCACTCCTCTGATGAAAACCTTTTAAAAACTTGCCATTGGCCTTAGACACATTTTCGAAGTCCTTAGTCGGGCAAAATAATTCTTCACCCCTGGGTCCTTCTTCTCTACTCCACTTCATCTCCTGCCCACCCCCTACACACCTTACACTCTTTATTCTTCATTTACAGTTTCCCAAAGAGCTCTATACTCTATACCTCCAGCTTTTACACGTTTTTCACCATGTTTGGACGCCTCCTGGCTAATTTCTGTTGATATTGCAAATCTCAGTTTAGACATTACCTCCTTGAAGAAGCCTAATCAGCCCTTGAGAACCAATTCCTCTGGATCTTCTTCCCTGGAACCAACTGTCTCCCTCACCTTCAGGCACATTAACCCCTTCCTGACAGCTCATTTCCTAACACCTGTGCTCCTCTTATACTTTGTTCATATATTTATTAAAGCATTCATTCAGCTTTGCACTGCTGCTCCCCCACTGTATGCAGGCTCCTTGGGGACAGAAACTGTCTGGTTTCTGTGCTACAAGTCATCTGTTTTTTCTTCCATATCCCCTCCCTGCCCTTCTCTGCCCTCCTGTGAGCCCCAGGAGGCTGACCTGCAGTAAATACATAAATGGAATTCAGCCACTGCAGAGAAGAGGGTGAAGTCAAGGTCAAGGTCATCATTTCACCAGCTAGATGAGCCCTTCAACCAAAGCACAGCTTCTGCCCAGTGGCCCTCTCCATCTGACTCATTACTTCTGGATTCTGGGAATTGTCTCTCCCTTTATCCCTTCAGCCTAGGCTTGATAATATCTTCCTGATGTTACTGGCTCCAAGAGACAGCACTACCCCTTGTTTTCCTGCACTCTGCCCTCCCCTTTGAAAATAGTCTCTTTATTAAATTCTCCTCAAATTACCAATTACCCAATTTAAGTTTGCCAGGACCCAATTAATTTCCTCTTTTAGTTTCTGGCAAAGATTCTAGCACATAAATGTTGAATGAATGGATGAATGAATAAATGAATTGAGGAAAACAACTCAAGCCATTGCCTAGCTTGGCTTATTCATCCTCCATTTCACAAGGAGAAAAAAATGATTTCTCAGTTTAGAACCTGAAACTCGGTCTGGCATGGTGGCTCATACCTGTAGTCCCACCACTTTGGGAGGCCGAGGTGTGCACCTTATTTGAGCCCAGAAGTTTGAGACCAGCCTGGGCAACATGTCGAAACCCCTTCTCTACAAAAAAATACCAAAATTAGCCGGGGGTGGTGGCGTGTACCTGTAGTCCCAACTACTCAGGAGGCTGAAGTGGGGAGATCAATTGAGCCTGGGAGGTCGAGGCTTCAGTGAGCTGTGATTATGCCACTCCAGCCCGGGTGACAGAGTGAGACCCTGTCTCAAACAAACAACAACAACAAAAGAACTTGAAATTCAAATGAGACAGTTTTAGGGTCAGTGAAGAAGGGGATCCTTGGGACGCTTTTGGCAGAAGGCAGGTCTGGGGAATGGGAAAGAGGCTGTTGGGCAGATGTCCTTTGCTATAGCAGTCCCTGAGGTTTGCAGGGTGCTGGGCTCCCCAGAGAGAACTGTATTTCCTGCAATGACTCTGTGCCATGTTGGGTGGGAATGATTCTCATGCCTTCCTTTTCTTTCTCTTGGGCTTTCCCCTAGAGAAGGGATTAGAAAATCACTAGATGGTTACTTCCTCCAACCTCCCACTCAAATCCAGCAACCTGAAATTCAAGCTCAAGAGGTGTGGGAGGGAAAGCCCAGCAATCATCAAAGCAGGAGACTCTACATTCATGAGCAGATCTGGGCCAAGGCCACAGCTGGGGGGGCAGGATCCTCTGAGATGAGTCACAAACCACACACCCCTGTGGAGTCCTCCAATAGTCCCAGCACTGTTCAAGCTGGGAGGGACCTCAGTGCTCATTATACCATCAGAACCCGGCCCACGGAGGGGAAGCAATTGCCCAAGATCACACAGTAATCTGGGGGCAAAGGAGGTGTTAGAACCTAGGTCACCCAGTTAATAAACTTGCCATCTCATTGCCACACCACACTGCCTCCTGAGACCAGCGGATGCTTCCAAGATGTCAGGTATCAGCAGAAGGAACAGGCTCCCAAAAGAAGAGGCCAGACAGACAGTGCAGGTCTGCTGCGCTATGTGCTTTGGAGAAGAGAATTAGCACTAGTCAAGCTATGGTTACACACAAGGCCATGGCCATACATTGTTGGGGTCAATAGTACTGGTTCTGCAACACACACTGGGGCCTGTTGGGGGCAGTGGGGGAAGGAGACCATCAGGATGAATAGCTAATGCATGCGGGGCTTAGTACCTAGGTGATGGGTTGATAGATGCAGCAAACCACCATGGCACACGTTTACCTATGTAACAAACCTGCACATCTTGCACATGTACCCCAAAACTTAAAATAATAAAGAAAAAAAAATAGTACTGGTTCTGAGCTCATACAAATATGGGTCTGAATTTTGCGTGACCTTGAATAGGTGACCCAACTTTTCTAAGCCTCAGTTTCCTCACCTGTAAAATGAAGGTTAAAAGAATACTCGCCTCATAGGATTTTTGTGGGGACTAAATAAGGTGATTTATGTAAAGCACTTAGCACATTTAAAAGCTGGCACTGAATAAGCACTCAATATATGTTGGCCATTATTTTTCCCTATAGCAATGATATTGTATTTAATTCTCATGCCATCCTTTTAAGAGAGACAGGACATGAGCTTGGTAAGTTACTTGCTCAAATTTATGTATTCATTTATATTTGTTAAGCTCCTACCAAGGGGCTGGATTCCATTCTGGACTCTGGGGATATGGCAATGAATAAAGGCAACAAAAATCCCTGCCCTCATGGAGCTTTCATTGTAGTTGGGGCAGACAGACAATCAACAAAAAGTACAAGTGAATTATATGAAATGCCAGAGGGAGATAAGTGTCATTGAGAGACATAAAACAAGGGAGATGATGGAGAGAGGGAGGGGAGGGTTGCAGTTTTAGAGAGAGTGGTCATGGAAAGCCTCCACATGATGGTGATAAAGAAGCTAAAAAGAAATTATTTAGGCAGTTGATGAGGGTAAGAGAGTCCTCAGTCAGGCTTCCCTTTTAACAAAAAGCAGGCCCCAAATCATTTCTTTTCTAACAAAGAGCCACCTGTAAAATCAATCTGCAGACATAAATAAGCAAGCTGGAAGCTTGCATAGGTAAATGCCGGCAGCTGTGCCTATAGGAAAAGGCTACCTGGGGGCCAGGTGTGTTCAACATGGGAGGTTCCCTCTTCCCTTTTCTTTGTAACCACATGTGAAGTAGAAAGGCAGGCAACCCATGCCAGCCAGGTAGAGACTCCATCTGTATAATAAAAGATTAGGGTGGGATGGCCAGCTTCTTTGTGCGCTATGCGAATAGTGCACCTGGTCCTACCAATCTCGCAGGCCCTATGTAAATCAGACACCACCTCCTCAAGCTCGCCTATAAAACTCCATGCATTTCACCACAGAACCAGAAAACCCACTCAGGAGTCCTTCTTTCTCTCTCTGTAGGAGAGAGAACTATTCTCTTTTCTTTCTTCGCCTATTAAATGTCTGCTCTTAAACTCACTTCTTGTGCATCTGCGTCCTTGATTTCCCTGGTGTGAGACAACAAAGCTCGCATATTACCCCAGACAAATGACGCCGCTACAATGGCATTGAGCAAGGGTCTGAAGAAGGGAAGGGGGTAGGCTTGTGGCTCTCACAGGGAAGAGCATTCCAGAGAAAAGTAAGCGTGCGTGGAAAGGCCCCGAGGCAAGCAAAGGAGAGCCTGGAGGCGAGTGCTCTGAAACAGGAGTGCAGGGAGGAGCCATGGGCGCTGAAATTAGAAAACACCCTTAATTATGGTGCTGGGAGCTGAGATTCAAACTCAGAACTAGTTCCCAAGTCCTTGCTCAGCCCCATTGCAGGCACCCTAGATGACAGGCTGGTGTGATTGAGTTGATTCTGTTCTTTCTAAAGAGGGTTTTGTGTGGTCCAACACTGGATATCAGGTAGTGGGGGTGAAGAATTCCATTTCAAAGTAAGTGTAATGTCTCTATCTTCGGAATCAAAAATCAGAATATAAATTTCAATAAGTACATGAACTTACAAGCAGGTAGAACAGAGCATTTGAACGTAGGGCATCCAAGATATCCAGGACCTCGAATGAGCACAAAAGCTTTTCCATCCCAAAGATCCTCAGGCACTTTACCTTTATCCACCTCTAATAAGAAGCACCTCCTTCACTGGCCTGGGGAGGAGCAAGCTGGGATTCTTTAAAGTCCTCTACCTGCCAGGGCAGCAGCGAAGTCCAAGAGGGCAGAATGCAGGGGTGGGGGTTAGGTGGCCAGGGGTCCCAGAGACCCAGTCCTGACTCCGGGACACTGTTGGAACCCTCTGTGTGCCTTACTTTCCCTCCTCCAGCAAGAGGCCCTCCGTCTGCCCACCCACCTCCCAGGATATTCCTAGGAAGGATCAAAGAGGACCTCTTGAAAGGGCTGGCTCCCACTCCAGATAATTGCTAGGTAAACGCACCGTGTGTTTAGGATATAATGGGCCAGTGCAGACAGAGCTGAACAGAGGAAATTGCTCACTTCAGGGAGGGGCAGGAACTCTTCCAGGCCATTATGGTCCACTAAGTAAGCTGCCTTTGTGCCAGGTGAAATGTCTCCCTGATGACTTGAAGAGTGAACTGTCTCCTACCATTTCACACTGCATTTTGGTTACCGAGCTGTGATGCTCCCTCTTTCTCTCCGTGAAACCTCTGCAGCAGGGTCGCCATCACACTTCCGGCAGAAAGACTGGGAAAACAAGCCACTGATTTCAAAGAGGGTGCAAATTTATGTGGAAGGAGGTAGGGGAGGGAGGGTGAGAGACTGCTCTGGAGCTCAGTGAGGGACCTCAGGGTTACACAAGAAGGGACTCTGCGCTGGGTTCCAGGCCTGATTCTTTTATTTTCTCTTTTTCTTTCTTTCTCTTTCTTTTTCTTTCTTTCTTTTCTTTCTTTCTTTCTTTCTTTCTTTTCTTTCTTTCTTTCTTTCTTTCTTTCTTTCTTTCTTTCTCTCTCTTTCTTCCCTCCCTCCCTCCGTCCCTCCCTCCTTTCTTTTTCTTTCTTTCTTTCTCTCTCTCTCTCTTTCTTTGTACAGAGTTTTGCTCTTGTCACCCAGGCTGGAGTGCAGTGGTACAATGGCGTGATCTTGGCTCACTGCAACCTCTGCCTCATGGGTTCAAGCAATTCTCCTGCCTCAGCCTCCCGAGTAGCTGGGATTACAGGGGCCCACCACCGTGCCTGGCTAATTTTGTATTTTTAGTAGAGATGGGGTTTCACCATGTTGGCCAGGCTGGTCTCGAACTCCTGACCTCAGTTGATCCACCCGCCTTGGCTTCCCAACGTGCTGAGATTACAGGTGTGAGCCACTGCACCTGGCCCCTGTTTATTTCTTGATGCCATGCATCAGCTGAGTGGCTTTGAGGAAGTCAGTTCATGACTCCGGCCCTCAGATTTCTCATATAGAAAATGAGAAGATAATTGCTCAGTTCACACCCAGCTCTAAAATCCTGTGATTTTAGGCAGAAGAAGAGATTGCATGGAGCATTTTAGTGACTGGGATGGCTCATGACTGGGCTGAGATGATCGACCTTTATTTCAGATCCAGAAACCTCTTCACCTGAACCTCATTGCCACAAGCCAGACCGAGACCTAGACAGGGATTTTCACACCAACAATGAAAAACACACTTAAGGAGCCTGATTATTTTTACCTGGAGCTTGGAGGCCCAGAGGAAAAACATACAAATAGGGCTTGGGACATACACACACTCAGCTTCTGAATTTTAATATCAGAAGATCATTATCATAAGCTGCATCAACAACTTGGGATCCCAACTGGTGCCAACTAAGCCTTCTCGCTTAATTACATGCTTAGAGCACTACAATTTAAAATCCTGGCAACCATGTTCTATGCAATTAAAAACAAACTCACAAACAGGCCTTACTTGTGCCTCTAATATGTTGTTAAGAGTTTGTCCCTGCTGCTCACCCACTTTCCTGGGAACACTGCTTTTCACCAAAGAGCCTCAGTCCCCACATCCCAAATGCCTGTCAGTCACCCTCCAGCTTCTGTCAAGAGGCCCATGGCCAAGTGTCATGCAAACCAACAGCTTTGCTTATTCCCACTCTGAGCTTCCAGATAACTATGCCTCCATTAATCCCTACTGAGGAACACAAGATTCCTCAACTACATTGGGGATGCTGAGTGGATTTTGCCTCATCAGTGGCTTTGAAAGTTGGAAGTGAAGTATTGGGATCTAGCCGTGATTGGCCTTCATTCATTAATCAGTGCTGCTTTCTCTACCTTTCCAGGTTTATGAGCAGGAACCATTGCTTAAGAAATACTCACCATCAAGCAGAATCATGAGGGACAGAGCACCATGAACTCAGGGAGCAAAGAGAACACTGTGGGGGTATTCTTAGGGATGGAATCTCCACATCAAATCTATTGGCAAGACCTGGATGTTCTTGGAAATGTGAAACATTGAAAATGTTGAACATTAATCTTCTCCTCATCTCCAGTATCAACACCCAACTGAGGCCACCATCATTTCTTGGGTTTGGGTGGACAATTGCAACAGCCACCTATGACTGCTGTGACTTTGTCTATGACTCCAGTTAATCCATCCTCCACTCCACCGCCTGAATGATCTCTTCAAAATTCACAGTAGGTAATGACACCCCAGTGGAAAATGCTGATTGCCTTCTACTTAGAATAAATCCCAAATTCTTTACTGTGGCCTATAAAACCCTCAGTGCAATCCTCTCTGGATGAGCTCATCATTTTTAAGTCTCAGGTTAAATTAGCGGTTCTCAAAAGGGAGCAGTGTTGCCCTTTAAGAGACATTTGGCAATGTTGGGAGATATTTTTGGTTGTCATAAGTGGAAGTCAGGGGGTGCTACTGGCATCCAGCG
This sequence comes from Homo sapiens, assembly GCF_000001405.40. Lineage (NCBI taxonomy): Eukaryota > Metazoa > Chordata > Mammalia > Primates > Hominidae > Homo > Homo sapiens. The sequence goes on from NC_000014.9 coordinate 70,712,613, forward strand.
GTCAGAGGCCAGGGATGCTGTTGAACATTCTGCAATGCACAGAATAGTCCCCTATAGCAAAGAATTGTCTGACCCAAAATATCAGAAGTGCCAAAGTTAAGAAATCCTGACTTAAAATCACTTTCCTGTAGTGACTTTATCTGACCATCTTTATCTCAAATTGGTTTCCATCCCCTATGCTCTTCATACCTCTAACCACAATTTGCAATTCCCTTCTTATTGTCATTTACATACATGTAAGCTCCACATACCGGGCTATGGACAAAGTATGTCTTGTCCAACTTTGTTGTCTCAACATGTACCACTTAGCAGATGCTCAATAAATATTTGTAGGAAGAAGAAGGGCAGGAAGGGGGAAGGGCAAGAAGAAAAGGCAGTCAAGGTGAAGCAGCACCCCTGCCCTTCTGAGCCCCTTTCAGTATCATGCTGACTCTCATCTTCATGTGGAAAACCTGCCATTTGACTGGGCCAGTTGCACTGATTATGTTTTACCGGAGAATGAGCCGAGTGGACTAGGAAAACACTTTAAAACTCAGTTGTGGGGCAGGGTAGGGGGTGGGGGCATTGGCATGAAAATGTTTAGATTTCTTCAGTATTGACTTTGTTTTGTCAAACAAGTCCTCTTGAGGGTAGGGACCATGTCTAGTTCAGTCTCCGCTGTAGCTCCAGCACCTTGCATAGTGCGTAGTGCAGACATAGTGGGTTTCCCAAAAGTGTTTGTGAATATGTGAGTACCCCCCCAGCCTGCAGGGGAGGGAGGGTTGATACCCCACTGCACCCACTTCTTCAGCAGCTCATAAACCCACTTATGAAGCCAACCTTCAGGTCAGACTCTTGCTTTTCTTCTTATTAGTGGCCCTTAAAAGAGCATTGCCAATAAAAACTTCAGCTCTGGAAAAGAATTCTGGCCTTTGTCAGCTATTTCCGACAGCCCTTGAAAGAAAAATAAATTTGGCTCCAAGTTTTCCCATGCCTGTTTATAGTTCCTCACACAAAGCTCTGCCGTTTATACAATTTTGTCACCCAGAGACCCAGCTAACTCTATCTCAGAGGCAGCCTCTCCCGTCCCCACCTCAGCAGCCTCCACTCCAACTTCCTCCTCCCCACTTAGGGCTTCCAAGGACCCATGAGGATAAGCTGCAGGCTGTGAGGTTTCTATAGTACACTCCTTCCTGGAATGACTCTGCCTAAATTTCACCTTTAAGCCTCAGAGATTCATGTTATCTTATTAGCAACACAAAATGGAAAAGACTGAACCCTTTCAGTTTAATCTGCTGAGTTTCTGAGGCTGCAGGGAACTCCTCCAAGGAATGTGCTTAGCTTTTGTTAGAGGAAGTTAAAAAAAAAAAAGGCCCAACATATTATTTGGCATAAATCTACTCATCTAATTTAGATTGTAGAAACCTATTGATTAGGTTCCCAAGCCTGTCACTTTTTCCCTATAGCGACTACAAATATCACTGCCATTGGGAAATTTCACATCATAAAACTCACTACTATGATCCCACTTTCATATTTTCCCTCTCTCTCTCCATCTTTTCCTTTCTCACGCACACAAAATCTGTTCTTTGGTCTCATCAGCGCCATCTGGTGGTGTTTCAAATGTTTCAGTACCCTTTAAAAAAAAAAAAAAAAGATTGAAGACCCCAAAGAGCACCTGAGTATGTGTCATATCTATCACAGTTATCCTATTCAAAAATGAAACTGGCCAGGCACGGTGGCTGACGCCTGTAATCCCAGCATTTTTGGGAGGCCAAGGTGGGCGGATCACTTGAGGTCAGGAGTTCCAGACCAACCTGGCCAACATGGTGAAACCCTGTCTCTCCTAAAAATACAAAAATTAGTGGGGCACGGTGGCAGGCACCTGTAATCCCAGCTATTCGGGAGGCTGAGGCAGGAGAATCAATGGATGTCATATAATGAAATGATGTCATATAATGAAATGTGTCAACATTGAAGATCTGTATAACTCAAGGAAGCAATATTTCCCAAATGGCCGTGAATGAGATTACAAAATCATGCATTCAAAATGCATTCAATCCAGGAGAATCGCCGGAACCCAGGAGGCAGAAGTTGCAGTGAGCTGATATTGTGCCACTATACTCCAGCCTGGGCGACAGAGCAAGACTCCATCTCTAAAAAGAAAAAAAGAAAAATGAAACTGAAAACTTTTGGAAAACATTTATTGATCCATTTAAAAATAACAGTAATAAATGTTTAACATAAATAACAAATTTTAATAAAAAAATCTGTATTTTCCAAAACAAAAACAAATTTAGGAAGAGTGGCATTATTTTACATTTTTGCACATCTCTTTAATGTCTGACTTAAAAGACACCTAAATTTTCATATCTGCTTCTGTGTTCAATCTGTTCCAATATCTTGTTTTAGTTGAAACATATGAAGAAAATCTGGCCTCACACAGATATGTAGTTGGAAAAGAAGTGAGTATTTTAATAGCCTTTTAAGATCATTGTGGGTATTCTTCTTTGATATTATTCCAAAACTCCACAAGTTATGGTTTCTTAAAAGTTAGCTGGAATGGAGAATCTGAAACCACATCCATGAACTTTTGGTACTGTTATGTTAAAACCTGCTGTTCTATCTTCGACTTTGAATGCATTTTTGCATGCATGATTTTGTAATCTCATTCACTGCCATTTGGGAAATATTGCTTCCTCGAGTTATACAGATCTTCAGTGTTGACACATTTCATTATATGACATCAAAAAATCACATTGACTGATACTGTTACCAATTTCCTAAAAAAGTCTTTAGGTACCAAGAAACTGCCAAAGCCAGGTATGGTGAGGGCTCATGCCTGTAATCCCAGCAGGGGAGGCTGAGGCAGGTGGATTTCTTGACTCCAGGAGTTCCAGACCAGCTTAGCAAGATCCCGTCTCTACCAAAAAAAAAAAAAGAAGTAGAAAAGAAAAAGAAAAATTAGTCGGGTGTGGTGGCGTGTGCCTGCAGTCCCTGTAGTCCCAGCTACTTCGGAGGCTCAGACAGGAGGATTGCTTCAGCTCAGGAGGTCAAGGCTGCAGTGAGTCCTGATCATGCCACTATACTCCAGCCTGGGTGACAGGGTAAGATCCTATCAGGGAGGAAGAAAGGAGGGGAGGAAAAAGGGAAGAAAAAGAGAGGAAAAGGGGAGAAAGGGAAGGGAAGGGAAGGGTCAAGTTCATGATAGACAAAAATTTTCCAAAATTCTAATTTTCAATTGAAAGCTTGAATTTCATCGTTGGCAACAAATACAGTTGTTTTCAGTGAAGTGACAGGCTAACTTTGTTCACTTGCAAGAAAATATCTGTGAAATACTCAATCCTGAATAACCATAGTTTGCTTGACAATTATCCTTTCAAGTAAAAACAGTGTTTCATTTAAAAAAGAAAAAAAAAAAGGCCGGGCACGGTAGCTCACGCCTGTAATCCCAGCATTTTGGGAGGCCAAGGTGAGCTGATCACGAGGTCAGGAGATCGAGACCATCCTGGCCAACATGGTGAAACCCCATCTCTACTAAAAATACAAAAATTAGCTAGGTGTGGTGGCACGTGCCTCTAATCCCAGCTACTTGGGAGGCTGAAGCACGAGAATCGCTTGAACCCAGGAGGCAGAGCTTGCAGTGAGCCAAGATCACACCACTGCACTCCAGCCGGGTGACAGAGGGAGACACTCCGTCTCAAAAAAAAAAAAAAAAGAAAAAGAAAAAGAAAAAGAAAAAGAAAAAAAAAGGCAGCTAGTTCAGCTCGCAACTCAATCACATATGTGCTTTTCCTCCAGGCAAACTTGTAGTTCAATACACAGCAGAAATACTTGATGTGACGATGTGACTTCACATTTCATCTCAGAGAATGTTAAAAAGATATAGTTAAGCAAGAGTCAGGATTTAATTAACATAGTAATGTTACTAAGTAACTATTGCTTTATCAAGGGCATTCTTAAGTGAAACTGGCATTCCCATTACTTCAAGCGCCTGGTGATGGAGAATACAAGGAGTGCTGTCCCATTTGCTGTCTCTGCCTGTCCCAAGATGCCAGGAGTTTGACCTGCCGTGCTTTTCGGTGCAAATGTCAACACAGTGAAAAAGATAAACAACAGTTTAGTGTTATTGTGAAAATAGTTTTGACCTCCCCTATCTCCAGGGATCGACGGGCCAAACATTGAAAACTGTTACATTACTGGGACAAAACTCCCAAGATGGGTTGTAGGAGGAAGGAGGGAGGGGCTGTTATATTCTGACTTTAATATCATTTGCTCAGAGATAGGAGCATAGAAAAGATCCCCTATGCCTGAAATTTATCTCCTAAACCTCTCACCCCACATGTTATTTTCCATTTCCTTTTCTGATTCTGCATAGAATGTGTCCTGAGAGACACATTTTTTTCCTCACCCCAGGGCAAACTAAATAGCACAGGCAGAACCCAGCTGGAAGCACCCTCTTCATCTCCCACCTATGTAAAAATTAATCTTTTTTTCCCTACCAGTTATTGCCTAACACTAGTGCTTATCACAAAGAAAAGGCTGCAAGAACAAAGTGCTCTGTGAGATAAGGAATTTAAGATAAGTGAGCTGGCAGAGGATAAAATCCAATCCCCTTCACACAGCTGCTCCCAACACCTGGCTTCCCCATTAACACCACTCCCAGGACTATTTAAGTCTTAGTCATCTTCCAGGTCTCAACTGGGACACCACTTCCCACCTCTTGTCTGCCTATCTGTGCCTATCTCGCTCCCTCTCTCCATATAGGAAATACAGATATAGAGACAGAGATAGACATTAACAGATAGATAGATATTGAAATATAGATTATCATAGTGCCTTAATTGTTGGGTAAGCTGATTTTCCCACTAGATGGCAAATTCCAAAAAAGTGGCAGTCATTTTCTGTCCCATTCACCCTCAGGGGTTTTAAAACACTGAGATGATGTGTTTGAGCATTAGTTAAGGACATGCTTTTAGATGGGGAATGCCTTTCCTTACAGCACCATTCCCCACTGCATCTTACTGTCATAAGAGTGCCTCACTCATTGACCTGTCTGGTCCCACACAGAACTGGAATTTGCCAGTCACACTGCAACTGGGACCAGAGTCATCCCTCGATAACCATTTGTCAGAGGATTGGAGGGATGAGTCTTTTCTTTTCAGGTTGGGTAAAGTATAGAACTAGGTGGGAATCGGTGCTACGTTATCGGGCCACTCCACACTAGCCATGGCCCTCAGGATGTCCCTCCATCTACAGGTGTCCCGTGGTGCTTGGTACCCTTCTCCACTGCATCCTAGCGTGTTCAGTCTCACCAGGGAGACTATCATCTTCTAGGGGATGGAATCTGATCTCTATTCCTTTCTTCTCTTTCCCATCTTGCCTTGTCTCTTTCCCTCACATTTGACCACTTATTTATTTATTTTTTTTTTAGATGGAATCTCACTGTATCACCCAGGCTGCAGTGCAGTGGTGCCATCTCGGCTCACTGCAACCTCTGCCTCCCGGGTTTGAGCAATTCTTCTGCCTCAGCCTCCAGAGTAGCTGGGACTACAGGCACATGCCACCACACCCAGCTATTTTTTTTTTTTTTTTTTTTGGTATTTTTAGTAGAGACAGGGTTTCACCACGTTTGCCAGGCTGTTCTTGAACTCCTGACCTCAGGTGATCCACCTGCCTCTGCCTCCCAAAGTGCTGGGATTACAGGCGTGAGCCACGGCACCCATGGTGACCACTTACAGGTTGCAGTCTTCTTAAGACACCTAGGTAGATAGCCAGAAAGTCAGTTCATAAAGAGGATAATACTCTTTCAAGCAGGAGGCCTCCATTCCTGGAAAATCAAGTGTTTCAGGAAGCAGAGAAGTGTTGAGTCTTAGGGATGGGGAAGGACTGGAGGCAGGGAAATTGTGATGGGCATTTGGGAAGGTAGACTCAGGTCAGATTGGGTGGGGCCCTGAAGGCCGTGCTCAAGAATGTGGATCCTTTCCTGCAGACATTGGGCGTGGCGTGATCCAACCTGTGTTCCATGAGCACATTTCCTAGGCTGATCTTTCTCAAGCCTCCCCATTGTCCTTACGTCACAAAGAAGTGTCCAGTGCCTCCCACTGAGACCCCATAACAGGCACTCCTGGTTGGATAGCAGCAGTGTGACCAATGACTGAGAGGAGGAGGGGACAGAGTGGCAGACCCCCACCCTCATCTCCACCCCACCCCCTTATGCCAAAACATGTTCTCCAGCTTGAGCTAGTTGGACTAGATCGGGTGGGGACCAAGGGCTCAGAGGATTAGGACATCAGCCCCAGCCTTGAATGAACCACATTCCATAGGCACGTAAACAGGGTGTGGTGGACGCAGGCCTGGTGCAGCTCCTTTGACAGAGGGGTGTGCACTTGTGTTGTAGGAACGTGCTATTTGCCTGTGCAGGACCTGACATCCCTAACCAGCTGTGCCCCTAGGAAACCCCCACAGCACCTCCTTCTTAGAATGTTCTCTGTACATGTGCCCTCACTGGATTCTGCTAGCAGTCTGCAGGTGCTCACCATTCCAGCACCAACTCTCCACTGGAGGGAAGGGACGAAGAAAGGGGTGAGGGGGACCAGGAAGTTGGCCCCAGTCCTACCTTCCATAAGCAGGGCTTCTGGAATCACCTCGTTATACTGCTTAGGGCAGGGGACAACCTTGAAGCCAGTGGCCTCTGGAACACCTGCAAAGGAACCTGGTTAGCATGGGAAAGCATCCTCAAACTATTTTATTTGCCATTGTTTTGCTGAATAGAAAAGTAACATATATTCTTTTTTTTAAAGTTTAATAAATTCCAAAAGAACATTTTTAAACCATCTATGATACCTCCCCACAAAGATAGCTGACTTTCTCCCAGTCTTTTTCCTGAGCCTATCAGGTGTGTATTTTTTTAAATGTAAATATATTTTCTGTATATAATAGGGATCCAATTGCTTTTGAAATTTTTTATATCCTACCATTTAGCTTATCATGAGCATTTTCACATTTTCTTAATTATTCATGAAAAATTTAGCTTCATGTATAACCTGTTCATGAATAATCTAATGGCCACAAAATATCTCACATGGTCCATGATAAAATCAGCGCTAGGAACCCAGGGTGAGGCATTACAAGGTTCACTTTTTTAAAAAGGTGGACACAGAATTGTGCTGCCTGAGAGGAGAGGGAGCATCTCACCATCTCCCGCCTTGGTATCTTTTATTCTTTAGGACTCAGCTCAGGTTCTGTCTCCTCCATGAGGTGAAGCCCCAGCTCAGGCTAAACCCAGCCCACAGTGCTCCTTTAGCACCCCATCATGGCGCTGACTACATTACATTAAACAGATTTCTTCATATTTTGGTCTTTCCCACCAGACAATATAGTCTTTGAGAACCTGGCTAAAGAAGCTGCAAATCTCTAGTGTCCAGATGGTACCTAGCACAGGAAGGTACTCAATAAATGCCTTGAAAAGCAGCAGACTTTAAGCAACCTCCTGTTGTCAGGCATTTAGACAGTTTTCTAGTTTGTAAAGAGAGCCTTCTTGCTCTCACTATATCAGATTCCATGTTGTTGGGTGAGGAAGAGGCTGGCAGAAGACCCGCATTCTTATTTGGGTCATTTGTAGTCTCTTGAATGATCCTGTAAATAACATTGGGATGACTTGTAAATCTTTGTCTGCATCCAACTCAATCTTTTTTTGTTTGTTTTTTTTGTTTGTTTTCGAGACGGGAGTTTCGCTCTTGTTGCCCAGGCTGGAGTGCAATGGCGCGATCTCGGCTCACCGCAACCTCTGCCTCCCAGGTTCAAGCGATTCTCCTGCCTCAGCCTCCCGAGTAGCTGGGATTATAGGCATGTGCCATTACACCCGGCTAATTTTGTAATTTTAGTAGAAACAGGGTTTCACCATGTTGGTCAGACTGGTCTCAAACTCCAGACCTCACGTGATTCAACCGCCTTGGCCTCCCAAAGTGCTGGGATTACAGGTGTGAGCCACCGTGCCAGGCCCCAACTCAATCTTATGATACAAACGCAGATGCCAGAATCAGACAAGTCCCAGCTCCACTATTTGCCAGTTGTGCGGTCTTGGGCATGTTACTCAACCCTCTGGCCCTCACTTTCCTCAATGTAAAATGGAGATAATAATGGATGTACTCTTAAAGATGTTGAAATATTGTAAATGAGATAACATAGGTCAGGTCTTAGTGCAACAGTTGACACATTAAACTAGTTTTTATTACTATGGAGTAGTAACAGAATTACTAGGCCTGTGTTGTAGTTTTTAATACCATATGGCCAAGCTGCTTTCCAGAAACATGCAGCAATTTGTATACATGTTAACAGTATATGGTGCCTGGCTGGGTGACTGGCTCATGTCTGAAATCCCAGCACTTTGGGAGGCCGAGGTGGGGAGATCACCTGAGATCACAAGTTTGAGACCAGCCTAACCAACATGGCGAAACCCCATCTCTACTAAAAATACTAAATTAGCTGGGCATGGTGACATGTGCCTGTAATCCCAGCCGCTGGGGAGGCTGAGGCATGAGAATCACTTGAACCCAGGAGGCGGAAGTTGCAGTGACCTGAGATGGCACCACTGCACTCCAGCCTGGGTGACAGAGCGAGACTCTGTCTCAACAAAACAAAAATAGTATGGCACCTTTCCATATGGCACCAGCAAGGAGATTGGTCAATTTTTCATTTTTGCCCAGTTGGCTTTACAAAGGTTATCTGGATCCTGGTGAAACTAACCTCAAGGCTCAGCAAAATGTCAGCTTTGCCCTCCCAATCCAAGCATCCAGCACAGAACCCCACCTCGGAGTCACCCCTCCTCAGGTGTCAGAGAAAAGAGCAAAGAGGTCAGAGAGAAATGAAAGGTTACAGCATTCACACAAGGGTGTCTGAATATTTAAGTTCAGAAGTCGTTTTCTTCCACATGTAGCTGAGTGATGAAATAGAGGATTCAAGCAGTGAAGAATGGCCTCAAACAAGATTCATCCTGTCTGCTTTTATCCTCATCCCCACCTAACACAAAATCATGGAAAGTGAGAGCACAAAGGCTGCTTTGTGATCAGCTTGCTCCAGAAGAGGCCCAGAGAGGTTAAGTGCCTTGCCAAGGTCACACAGCTCACGAGTGCCATTAAGAGCATCAGAGCTACAAGGAATCTGTGACTCACAGCCAGCAAATCCTATTCACATGTCTATAACTCCATCTGTTTGTCCTCTTAGCTCCATTCACAACTTCACCAGGAATGTCAGCATGGTTAGTTGTAGGGAGTAGGAGACAGCACATATTCACAAGTGGCTCTGAAAGCCAAAATCCACGAGCTGTGTGAAAATCAACTGTGAGCAGAGACTGCACCGTTCAGCACCATCATTCACAAAGGCTCCCATGGTCCTGCTGGAGGCTCCTAGACCCTCAGAGAAGCTTCTCACCCACCTCCTCTTTTCTACAGCATTTCCGTCTTTCTCCAGTTCTTTCTTTCCTACATATGAAAACTCCCTGGAAACAGCTCAGTTACTTGAGCACCTGCAGGCTGGAAACAGAGGAGAGAGACTCATGGCCTTCAGTTTAATTAAAAAGTAAAAAGAGGCTGGGTGTGGTGGTTCACGTCTGTAATCCCAGCACTTTGGGAGGCCAAGGTGGGTGGATCACCTGAGGTCAGGAGATCAAGACAAGCCTGGCCAACATGATGAAACCCCGTCTCTACTGAAAATACAAAAAATTAGGTGGGCATGGTGGTGGGCGCCTGTAATCCCAGCTACTTGAGAGGCTGAGGCAGGAGAACTGCTGGAACCCGGGAGGTGGAGGTTGTGGTGAGCTGAGATCACACCACTGCACTCCAGCCTGGGAAACAAGAGCAAAACTCCATCTCAAAAAAAAAAGAAAAAAAAGGGGGAAAGGATGAGTTTACAAAGAACCACAACAAACCAGAGGTAATCGTTATAACAGTTTTATTCAAGTCTCTGTGTGCTCTGGCATTGAGACCAGGCTGAGATCAGCATTACACTGTAATACAATAAGAGGTTTAGCCATTGAACCAAGCCTGCTTGGCATCCCTAGTTAACAATTTACAGTACCTCGAAAGAAAAAAAAAAAAAAGCCAAAGGAAAGAACCTGGTAAGTTTCCTTCAGGACTTTTTCATCTTTAAATATTGTTGACAACATACAATAACTTAAATCCCAAAGCAAAGTGGGAATTCAAGGACACGGGGTCAGGACACATGAACAAGACACTGGAGCAGAGAAGGTCTAGGGATAAAAACTAGTAGCTAATTACAGAGCAACCAAACAAACACATGTGTGAACTTTCACTTCACCTAGACTTAAAAGCCCTAAGGGGGAGGAAAAATCCCAAAGAAAGCTTTTCTGTGAACTAAGTAAAACCCATCTCCAATTCCTTTCCTTAATCCTCTACAAGCCTTAGACTATAAGATATCTGGGTTTCGGTGGGGAGTGCAGGATGAGTAGGGAGGGAAATCAGAAAAGAAAGTGAGCAAGTTCATCACCTCCCTTCTTTGCTACAACTGTGTATCAAAGGCATGTGGCTCAATGTGACAAAAAGGCAAAAGCCTGACCTCAAGTGCCCAGGGAGGAGACACAAGCTACAATAAGGCTTCCAAGCTCAAGAGACTGAGAGAAAAGTGAGGAGAAGCTGGAATGAAGAGCAGCAACAGGGCACCTGCAGGCTGGAAACAGGAGAGAGGCTCACGGCCTTCAGTGGTATTGGGAGAAGAGCTACAGAATTGACATGTCCAGCTCCTGTGTGCTTCAAACCCCTGGAGTCATGGAGAGGAAACAGGGCGAGGAAGGCAGCCAGCAGCATCAAGGATGTCAGCTGAGACGTGCGAGGGTTCAAGTCCAGTCACAGGCAGATGACAGGTGAGCCAAGGACACAACTCCTCCTTGGGCAAAGGGCAATCTCAAAACCTCGGTGGACCTGAGCTAGGCCAACTTTATCTCAAGAGCTTCTAAGTAGTGGCTTAGAAATGTGCTCAGAGGAAAAAGAGAGGTGACTTTGGAACCAAGCAGATCAGCAACTTGCTTCCTAGCTGTGTGACCCTGGGCAAATTACAGAGCCATCAGAGCCTTGGTTTCCACATTCTTAAATGGGGGTAATACCCACATCCCAGAATTATTGTAAGGAGTCAAAAATTATATATATATGAATCACTAGGACAGCACCGCCCCCCACGTGGAAAAAAATTAATGATTTCTTATCATGTATTATTCGTCTTTATAACTAGGCCAGGATACATCTTTGCCTCACTCTGATGGTGATGAAGAAAAGAGCCACAGCCAGCATGGCATCTGAACTGGAGGTAGAGATAAACGATGAGAATGAAATAAAGATGACAGAGGATGAGGAGGGTGGTGGAAACGATACTAGCAGAGGGTGTGATGGGCCAAATTCTGAAGACTCACTGTGCAGGCACAGAGCTAGGGAATGTGGCTCTTAGCATGCCAGGGAGTGAAAAAGCCTCCGTTCACTTTAGTCCCTTCTGAAATCTGGACGAGAGAATGAATGAAGTTCATTCACTTCTGGAATTCAAACATGTTCCAAAGAGGTTTAAGAGGAGAATCTAAAGGAGCCTCTCTGCCATAATCACTTCCCTTCTCCAGAGAACACACACACACACAAGTGCCCTCAGGGCTGCAGAGCCAGAAAGGCAGCCAGAGAACACCAAGGAAATGTCACACCCAGGTATAGATCCAAAGTTAAAAGCTCCTAGATGTTTCATTGCTGTAAGCCTACACACTCCTATTTAAATGCGAGCACCGCCAGAGAGCCACTGCCTCACTCAGGACCTGAGGGGAAGGGCAAGTAAAAATTTAAAACGTATTTCACAGTGGTACCTAAGCCCCTCTCACAGGTCCAGGTGAGGGGCAGGCAGGGCTGGGTATAGAGTGGAGTGAGGCCCTCACCTTGGGTTAAAATTTAAAGGGGTGCCAAAAAAAAAAGAGCCTCAGTAATCAAGGTAAATCATATTGCAATGCAGTATTTTTTAAAAATCAGAGTTATTGAAAAATTCCACGATGAATACAGTATCAAAATTTTAAGTCAGGCTTTGTCTGGGTTGGTGTCCAGGTGTGAAGGATCTCAGGAACAGGCAGCACACTATTTCTGAAACCTGGCCTTGGACTTCAGTGAGCGCAGGGCAAGGAACACCACGGCCCTGGGGCCCTCGCTCCCCAGGGCTCCGCTTGTGACTACTCTGACCTCTGGGTTCAGAATGCCCAGACGTCTATCCCTCATGTTCCGGTAGGAGAGGCCTGTCTGTGCACCCCTGGAATGGTATTCTGCTGTCCAATCCTGAGACACCTAACTAGTTAGACACCTATCTCGATAGACACCTGTCATGTCCACATCTGCCAATCAGCCTAGTAAAACTAGGTGATGAGTGCTTTCAAAGAGGGCAGGTCAGACCAGACAGGTAGGAAGATGGGTCAGGTGAAAGGCAGGTCTGTTTCCAAGGGTTAACAAAGAGAGGTGTGGAAAAGCTCAGCTCCTATAACCAGCTGGGCCCCAAAGCTCTTCTCTCTATCCAGCTCAAGGCCCAAAGCAGGCTCCCCGTAGGGGATGGGGAACCACAGACAGTAAGAATCAGGAAGGACCAGTCCCACCGGCTCCTGATCATGGAGTGAGCCCAACACGAAGAGCAAAGCCAGGGCTCCCTAGGCAGCCTACAGAGGCCCCCGTACTTCCAGGGCCCAAGACGGGAAATGGATGAGGAAGCGGGTGGACATGACTGTCAATATCTCATCAGGACAAAATGAGAAAGAGCAGTCTGAGAGGAAGTCCATAAGAGACTCACCTGGCCTGCACGGCTAACCATAAGTCCCGGGCTGAGTCATGATAATTAGGCACCTAAACCCTGTTAATTAGCCTTAATCGGCAGGATTTCAGCTTCCTCCTCCTGCCTTCCAACACCAGCACCTGAGTGGTGAGCACCCACCCAGGTAGCAATGCCAGGGAAAAGCCCAGGACTGAGGTCCTCTCCAGAAATAGCAATGGATTTTCCTTTCATATGTGAATTTTCATTAATTTGAATTCCTAATCTAGGAATACGCTGATCCGACAGAAGAGATGCATTTGGTAATGCGTTTCTAACAATAGTATACCTTGACAAAGACAAGTCATTCTCAGACCTAAAGCCAAAGAGAGAGGCAGGTACATTAGGGTGAACCATATGAAATAGCTGATATTCGACTGTTTTTGACGTAAAACCGTACGTATATTTCACACACACACACACACACACTTTTCTGCACCAAGGGAAGCAATCTGGCAAGGCTGCAGTTTCTGTGCAGGACTCATGGCCCCAGGACCATACATTTGAAAGTTAGAAGGGCTTCAGGAGGGAAAGTAGATAGCATCGTCCCCAGTTCACAGTAGGCTTCTGAAGTCCAGTGAGGGGAAAAGATATGTGCAAATTCACACACCCAGGAAGTAGGCAGCTTTTATCACCAGGTTCCTGCCAACACGGTTTCAACCCCAAGGTGTACCATTCACAGCCATCCAGTCTTCAGTGCCCTCTGCTCTTTGCTTTGTTAAAAGTGAGCTGGATGAGTTAGGATTGCTCGGGAGGTGTCTCCTTCACACAAGGGAAGGAGGAGGGAGGGAGGTCTCCAATGTGGGGACCACAGAGGCAAGAGAGTTCATGAAAAGTCAGGTCTAGATGTCCTTGGGGTATCTCATTGTGTCCCTGAGCAACAGTAGCCTGAGGGAAAGGGGGCTTAGTGACCATGACACATGTCCCAAGAACAAGGGGACCCTTTTCCAAAGATTCTTCCAGGAACTGGGATGATCCCAGGCTCTAAACAAATCAGACTGATGACCCCAAGAAATGAGAGACAGCCAACTGTCACTCTGATGTTGCTACCAACCTCCCTCTCTCATTTCCTTCTCTGTAAGACACAACCTCCCTCTCCCATTTCCTTCTCTGTAAGACACAAGTGGTGAGGATGACATTGGCAGACAGCATCAGACAAGTTAAGTGGGGGAATTAGGAAAGAATGCTTGTCAACACCAGATGCTATATAAATGCGGCAGAAGGGCATGGGCCCGACCAGGGCCCCCATTAGTCATGCTCAACCACCTCCAAATCACTCCTCTTCCAGAAGCCAAAGGACGAAAGAAAAGGCAAGTTCCCTCAAGGCAAAGGTGATGAGAGCCACACTCTCAACTTCAGCGATTCATCCTGTATAGATGAAAGAAGCTTCCTCTAGGAGCTGGCAAGGAGCTATGGTGTTTCACTGACCTTCTCTGATACATACACCCAACTCCCTTGAGAGGAAAGCATGTGATGATTGCTTTTAAAGGAAGGAAATCTGAGAGGGGCTAAAGAGACAAGCCTATGGCCACACAGCAAAAGCAGAATGGGGAATGCAGCCAACCTGTTCAGTTCTGAGCCCAGTGGCCTCACTCAGCAATTAGTCCAAGCCACTTTTTCATTTCTCTTCACTTGAATTTTCATCTTTAAGCATTTCCCCTTCTCTACTAGCAAGGGTATCAAATGTACAAGGAAAATGATGTCATTTTGCAAAGGTCAGGAGGAAAAGTTAGCACTATTCTGAGTTGTCCAGATGTAAGATATCATTGTTGCTATTACTGCTACCACCAGACCCTAGGGATGCCACAGGATGCCAAGTGAAGAGGATCCGCCAAAGCCTCTCAGAAATAACATACAGATAACTGAGGTATCTACTCAGCCTCCTGGCAGCAGTCTGGATCCCCAAGAGGGTCAAAAGGGGATAATCCGAATCAGCGGTAGGAGCTGAAGAATCCAAGAAGCAGGGGCAGAGAGCAGTATCTGTTCCTATTACCATCTTCCATGAAGTTAGCACCTGCCAAGAGCAGAAGGAACGTGTCTTTGTGCAAAGGGAAGGCAGAGGAAAGGGGGGCCGGCTACTGCCACTCAAGTGGCTTCATCCACAGCTCCAGGGCCTGCTCCCGACCAGGACCACAGAACAAGGGAACCTGAGCGAATAGAAAGCCACTGAGACCTGCTACTACTATACAGATCCTTAGCCCATCTCCAACCTTGCCCCACTGAGAGAGTGCAGCAGTCAGGGGCCCATCAGAGACCAGGTGTGTAGGAGCTGAGAGATGGTAACTGTTCCTTCTTCATGGATGCTCACAGTAGCACCTTTGGATAGCCCTGCTTTTGCTTCTTTCAGGTACAATTATTTCCTTAGCAAAGACCCAGGCTTGCTTTATCTTTCCCCACAGTGGACAAGTAAGGATGGCACTCAACCTCTCACTCAATGGCAGGTGACCATCATTCAGTTACACTACATCAGTTACACTACATCTAGAAAGATGGCTGCAACCTACCACAATGGCAAAAGTTAAAAATGAGCAAAGGAAAAATCTCTGCTTCATACCACAGAGCACTGTGTATAGGCAGCATGGTTTGGAGGGCCACAAGAGGGCCATTTAGTGGAGCCAAGGATATACAGATGTGCTCATGGTTTAGCCTGAGGTTATGGAGGGCCCGGGGGAAGGAGGCCACAGAACAGACTTTTTTTTTTTTTTTTTTTTTTTTTGAGACAGAGTTTCTCTCTTGTTGCCCAGGCTGGAGTGCAATGGCGCAATCTTGGCTCACTGCAACCTCCGCCTCCCAGGTTCAAGCGATTCTCCTGCCTCAGCCTTGCGAGTAGCTGGGATTACAGGCACGTGCCACCATGCCTGGCTAATTTTTTTGTATTTTTAGTAGAGACAGGATATCTCCATGTTGGTCAGGCTGGTCTCGAACTCCCGACCTCAGGTGATCCACCTGCCTCTGCCTCCCAAAGCGCTGGGATTACAGGCGTGAGCCACCGCGCCCTGTCAGAACAAACTTTGTATGTACTTCTCCCCATCAAGAATGAAGAAGAATCACTTGGTTGGCTGGAACTGCTGGTAAGATTCACATTTTTTCCTCCTAGCTCAGGAGTAGGGGAATGGGGACAAAAACAGTATCTTACATATTGGCTTCACTGAACAAAGAGAAGGACACAGAAGAGAAGCAATAACAAAACCTTGGGCAATAAAACCAGTAGCGCCTTCCCGTCCAAGACTTGGTGGGCCCCTTGAACCAAAGTGCTAATGGGCTCATAAAGCAAGGAACAAGGTCACCCCTTTAGTGACCCCAAGGCAGGACATCTATCCCAGTTATAGAGAAAGAGCAGTGACCAATTCATCACTGTTGCCAGCTGCACATCCAGGCAGCAAATGCAAGGAACCTGCTGAGTGACCTCCAAGACAAAAGACAGTGGAGCAGCATTCAGAGAGTCTTGAGGGAAGAGGGGAATGACCTTGAGACTCTACTCCCAATCAAGTCGTCATTCCCACATAAAGACAACTGTTCACACATAACACAGGAGGCCTCAGAGTAGTGGCATGGAGAAGACATACACGAGAAAGCTTTAGAGGAAGCTCAACATTCAAGTTAAGGAAACAACTTCCAGGAAGGTCAGGGTTGGCCTCTGCTATCCTTCCTACTCAGCTCATGGTCCAGAGCCCAGCATGAGGGGCTACCTGTGCACAGGCCTTGGTCAGTTTTCAGTATGGGGGACCTCAAGGTTATTGTACATCAGCGGCTCCCTGGGCACCCTATAAATAGCACTTTGCCACATGCATTTACAGAAGGTACTCCTGCTGGCTCCATTTTACTTCAAGGGCATCACAACATGGATGGCCCAGTTGAGAGTGAATTCCCAAGTCCCAATGTCCAGGTGGCCATATGGTATTCTGCTTCATAGCTGTTCTAGGGCATTGCGGTGATATCTACTAACCAAACATAACCAAAAGCCCACAAACTCCAGGGATTAGAGTGAAGACCAAAGGAAGGGAGTAACACATAAAGTTCAGACAGCAAAAGGAACAGACAGTGGAATTTTGTCTCTGACTTAGAACTGGCACCAGTGAGTGAGTCCCCCAAGAAACTATTCCTGGGATGAGCAGATGATTGTATCCGAACCTGGTCTGACGAGGTCCTGACCCCAAGTAGCTAGATGGGTACCCTCAATACTTGCTGGTTTGCCCTTTGCCGAGAGTTTCCAAAAAGAACAAGGACATACTTCATGAACCTCTTCATTGCAACTTTACTGTATTTTTCCTAACATCCCCGTCCCCCCGTTCTCACTGAGGCAGTTCCCCTTTCCACCTGTGGGCTCAGATAAATAGGTGGGGCACCTGGAAGTGCAGATAGGCAGTGCCAGGTCTATCAAGCCCTATGACCCCACACTGGGCCACCTTGCTTTCAGTCTTCCTGCTAGCATGAAAGGGCTTAGGACACAGAAAAGCTCCTATCTCGAACCAAGCCAGATTCCCATTCCTGGGTGTTGGGGGACAGCGGAGGAGGACCAAAATCAATCACAGAATATCCAACACTGGTGTTTGGGAAGCTGAACTCGGGGCTGACAAAGGGACCCTATGACAGCTCTGCGCACACCCAACTGGCTGAGGAGAGGGAGCAGCAGACAGATTTGGCTGAGTGACTCTGCAGGGTCACTCTAAAGGCAAGGAAGACTGTGGAGGGTGGGGGACATGCATGCACCCCTTCCTCCCCTACACAGCCAGAGCTGATGGCCACAGCCCCTCCAGTGGACACGGGTAGAAAGGCCCTGCAGGGCAGGAGACCCTCTGAAGTGGCCCTGTTTCCATCCCTTCCATCTTCAAAGTGCATTATCAGTGCAAGAAGTAGGGCTGGATCTCAGGGGGTCCAACCCTGAGAAAGGGCTGTGCCCGCCAGCTCCCCTCATCTCCGCTGGCTGTCCCCCTTGCCCGCCCCAATCCTTTTCGTGCTAAGACCAGAACTCCTGCTGGATCTCATAAGGGGCAGGCCTGTGTGTGTTCAGTTCCGCTCTGCACAGCGGCACGGTGCTGTCCTGACTCTGCCCCTCTGCATCCAGGTCCAGGAGCGTCCGCTCAGTCGGGGGCAGCGGCCCTGCCTGGAACGGGAGCAGGGCTGGAAGTCCAGGCCGCTCCTCTACAGTGCTGCTACTGCTAGCAAAGCAGGAGTCCAGGTTGCTGGGCGTCTCTGTGCTGGAGCTGTTGGCTGGGGAGGTGCTGCGGGCATGGCTGGGGGACACAAACCACCAAGGGTCCAGCCGTTGCCGGTTGGCAGAAGGACGCGGCCGAGGCAGAAACTCCAGAGTCTTGGGTCTCTCCAAGGTAGAGTCCTGCTGAGTGTTCCAGCGCCTTGGGGTTGGGGGGAAGACCACATTGGGGTCAGGGAGACGGGGGAATTCACCTGGGTCTCGGCTGGGACTGGGGGTTTTCAACATTCCTGGTCAAAAAGACAAAAGGAGAAGCATCAGATGAGGCACCATATTTCGGGGTTAGATATCCGCTACTCCCCCCCAACACCACCATATCCCTACGCAATCAGGAGAACATGAATCACCAAATGTTTGTGGAGCACCTACTGGGAGGCACTGGGGATACAGTAGTGACCTAGAATGCCATGATCCCTGTATCTGATAAGAATAATAGGACATTTGGGGGTCACATGTAATGAAATAACTGAAGGCAGATGTTGGCAAATGACACACAAGCTGGCCACCTGTGTTTATAAACAAGGTTTTAGGTGGAGTACAGTGGCTCATGCCTATAATCCCAGCACTTTGGGAGGCCAAGGCAGGAGGATCACTTAACCCCAGGAGTTCAAGAACAGCTTGGGCAACATGATGAAACCCCATCTCTACAAAATTTTTTTGCAAAATTAGCCAGGCATGATGGTCCATGCCTGTAGTCCCAGCTACTTGGGAGGCTGAGGCAAGAGGATCACTTGAGCCCAGGAGGTTGAGGCTGCAGTGAGCTGTGATCACACCACTGCACTCCAGCCTGGGTGACAGAAACTTTGTCTCAAAAAAAAGAAAAAAAGGTATACAATAACATTTTATTGAAACACAGCCACATCCAGTGTCTGCTTTCCCACTACGGCAGCGTAGTTTAGTTACAACAGAAACTGTACGGCCTACAAAGCCTAAAATATTTACTATCTGGCCCTTCACCAAAAAAGCTTGCTGCCTCCTGACTCAAGGGCATGTCTGTTCATTTACTGCTCATCCATGTAATAAACATGTGACGGGAACAGAGCTAGGTATCAGAAGTCCAAAGGTGAGTAATGTAGGGTTTCTGTTCCCAAAGAGGTCACATATCTGAGTATAACAAAAAACAGGAGGGCAGGTCAAGCCAAACAGTTAAATACAACTGTTGTTGACACTTAAATCTCATTGAAAGGGTATTACTATGCCCCCTTTTCCTACTGGATTAGAGGCTGTTTCCAAGTCAGACTTAGGTCTTCCAGGGAGAAAGAGATGGTGACAGGAAAGAGATGGTGACAGGAAAGAGTGTGTGTCCCCAGGTGTCAGATGTCGAGGGCAGTCATATGCACGGGGATAGCAATTTGCCTGGACTCATCTCCACGCCTGAAGAGGCAGGTATGAGTCAGGGGTGAGTGTTGAAGAGTGTGATGAATGGGTGGAAGCCTGCCTTCTGAGTGTGTGTGAACTAATGCTATAATGAGAGGCAAAATCCCAGCTATGTGGCAGAAAATACTGCTCCCACATGCAGTGCAAGATTCCTTCCTGGAAAATGCATCATCCTCCTCAGGGAATAACTAGAAGCTAGACTCCTGCCCTTCCTGTGCCCTGAAAACACTACCCTACCCTAAGACTCAGGGTCTGGACATTCCAAAGGAGTCCCAGGTCTTCTGATTCTTCCTAGAACCTGCCTGTCTTCTTTCAATCCTCAGGGAAGACCCCTGAGGCACAGGTCAGAGAAAAGTCAGCCAGCCCTGGCTGCCTCCCTGATCCCAGATCTGTATTTCTTGATTGGCTAAGAGGAGGAATGGTGTTCACTCAAATCCCGAAGTGGAAAGAGAAAATGAGGCCTGCAAACATCTTCACTCCCTGAGGAGGCACAAAGAAAGGAAAGAGAAAAGAGGAAGAAGACTCACCTGCTCCAGGACTGGGGCTCAACCCATTGCTGGAGGGGCTCCTGCTGGCTAGGAGAGTCTCTGGCTTAAGGGCCCCATCAGAAGGAGTCCGCCGGTGACTGCTGGGCTGCGAGGGGGTGGTGAGGGTGACATGGGTGGGAGTCAGAGATTGGTTAGGATCTCGTTTGAAGCGCTCTACTCGGACATTGACCAGGGGGTTGTGGGTACATGGACTCAGGGGAGGGGCCTCGACTGGGCTGACTGGCATCTCATACACGACAATTTCATCGCTGTCGGAGCGCAGCAGGGAGCGTGTGGAGTTGCACTCGGAGATGGAGGAGAGGGAGAGCAGCGTCAGGGAGGCAGAGGGGTCTCCTAGCAACAGCATGGGCTCCTCCTTCTTGAAAAGCTTTCGGGATGGGGGGCTGGTGCTCCGACGAGGACGGCTGGACCTCTGAAAAAGACCCTCCCGTCTTTTCTTCTCCTCCCGGGCTGGTGGCTCAGGCTCCTCCAGGGGAAGCAGCTGGCACTTGCCAGCTTCCAGCAAGTCAAACCCTAGGCCTGTGGCTGCCAGAACAGCCCCACAGCCGAGCAGAGCCACCTCGCAGCGGCGGTGGTGGGCACCGCCCCGCTTGAGGCTGTTGGTTGGCGTCAGCTGAGGGGTACTCGTGGCCGAGTTGACTGGGGTGGGCTCCTCATGGATTCCATCACTGGAGGGGCCATCGCCATCCTCTCCACGAGGGAATGGGATACAGAGGTAGGACTGGCTGGGTGAATGCTGTAGGCGACTCTCTCCACTCCCTGGGCCTTCACTGTCCTCATCCTCTGTGAAGATGACAAGAGTGGAAGAGAAACAGGAAATGGAAATGAGGTGGCAGGAATAAGAATCTGGCCCTTTCCCCTCACCCCAGGCCTCCTGTCTCAGTCTCAGGGACACAAAGGTTCAATGGTGTGATGAGCAGGACATGGAATTGAACACTGAACCAAGGGGGCTTTATCCACCCCCCAACACAGGGAAACCACTCTCCATTCCAGAGCCCATTTCCTTAGAGCAGAATAAAAGATCCGCTAATTTGCCATTTCTTTCATAAGGGATCTGTGATAGTGACTTGGGTATCCACTTGACTGGACTGAGGGATGCCTGCATGGCTGGTGAAGCACAGTTGCTGGGTGTGTCTGTGAGGCTGTTTCCAGGGGAGACTAAGATGGGAGTCAGGGGGCAGGGAGAGGAAGACCCACCTTCAATGTCGATGGGCACCACCCAACTGGCTGCCAGCAAGGCTAGAACAAAGCAGGCAGAAAAAGGGGGATGCTCAGTTTGCTGAGCTTCCTCTCTCTGTTTCTCCCTTCTGGAGAGGGACACTTTTTCTCCTCTTGCCCTTGGAAATCAGAGTCCAGGTTCTTCAGCCTTTGGACTCTCAGACTTGTAACTGAGGCCTTTCGGAGGCTCTCAGGCCTCAGACTGGGAGCTGCACTGCTGGTTTCCCTGGTGTTAAGGCTTTCAAACTGGGATTGAGCCACTCTACTGTCTTCCCTGGGAGCCATACTACAGGCTTTTCTCATTCTCCAGCTTGCAGACGGCCTGTCATGGGACTTTGCCTTTGTAACTGTGTGAGACAATTCTCCCTAATAAACTTCCTTTTGGTTGCTATTGGTTCTCTCCCTCTGGAGAACCCTGACTAATACCGGCCCCTTAATACAAGTGTAGTATGAGTTTCTAGAACACTGAACATTCTAGAACAAAAACATTCCCAATGTTTCCTCCATGAAGCAGTGCTAGGGGTCCTTAAATGGTCCTAGAAGCTTGGGCAAGAATGCCCCCAGGGAGCAGGGAGACAGCCAAGACTCTCAAGAGGAGCTATGCTTACCCATCTCCATAAGGCTGGTGAACCCTGGCAGGGCCGGGCTACTCCTTGGGCCCTTCACCAGGTTGGGGGCACTGGACGACCACTGCTTATATCCATCTACCAGGGACTTGAGGCTGAATCAGAGGAAAAGAGGAAACTGTCAGAACTGGTTACCTTTCTTACTTGACCCTCAGCTCCATGGGTCTATGGAGACGTTTCTCCCTGCCTGCTTCATTCTACCAAAGAACCTTGGAGTACATACAGGCAATGACTCTTACCAAGCCCACCTGCTTCACAAACAGAAATGCACATGCTCCAGGGAAGAAAAGGGCAATGACATGACCCATCCCCCTCACATGCTGCTGTGGAACTGTAGAAAGAACTAGTGGGCAAGCTGGCAAGCAGACAGAAAGAATAAGGATGGCCCTGCTGGCTGGGGGTCTTGCCTGAGCCCATCTCAAGAGAGAAGCACTCGAAGCAGACACTGGACACAACACATTCATGGCATGACAGTTACGGTGATGCAAAGACCTGCGAAGCCAGGCAAGCACCGGGCAGCCGAGCTAGCAGAGGTGGACCAGGCTACTCCACATAAGGCATTTCTCAGGCTTTCCTTCCAAGCTTTATGGCATGCTTAGGCAACTTTCAAAGCCATCCCCTTTTTAAAAGGCAAAACCAACCCACAAAGCTGCACCAACCCAGTGCACTGTGGGACAGACCTACGTGGGTAGTGCACAGTGCTGAAGCAGAGCCCTTGGTCTGTCTGGGGGTGGAGAGACAGAGGACAGGAGCTCGCTTTCAAATCCCTGTCATCAGCCCATATGGAAAGCCGGTAACTCTCCGAGGATACAGCCTGGGCACCCTGCCAACCACTTTGTAGGAGGGGGGAACCAGAGGCCTAGAAGCACTGGTCTTTTCCCTAGAGGACAGTAAAAGGGAGGACTGAGGAATCTGTGGGCTATGGTTGCCCTGGAAATATTGGGATTATGACCAGAGTGGCTCTTTTTTTTTTTTTTTTTAAGTCTAGGAAGAATCATTCAACTAAAGACCACTTTCCCCAAAGTCCCAGCCATCTTGAGAGAGACAGAGGACCAACTTTTTCGCTGTTCAGAATTCTGTTTCAAGTGCTATCAGAAATACCAGCAAATTAAAGTACATCCCAACCACCACTGGTTTCAACCAAAATATAGTCAGAGATAAGCCTGCTGCCAAACCCACAGCCTGGGGCTTCCTACTGAGACTCTCGTAACATCACTTCCAGCTCTGGATCCAGGAAAATCCAGATTAGTAAAGTCAAAACCAGTGCTGAAGACCAAAGGATAAATAGCCACATATCTAAGCCTCTCTAAAACCAAGAGTGCCAGGAGTATCCTAATTGGAGTGGTCAGTGGAGTGAAGAATATGGTAAAATTAGATCAACACAGGAATTTTCCCAAGGTGCACAATGGTACTGCTTAAAACAAAAACAAAAACAAAAAAGTCAGTTCAGCCCTGGCAATAACGAGGCTTGATTCTATGGGGTATGCTGTAAGAACAAGGAAATGGAAGGGAGATTGTTACCAGGACAGCTGGTGAAAGGGTGAAGATGAGACTCACCCCAAGTGGAAATGTGGAGATTCTGATGGGGTACTTAAACCATTAGCTTTCTCACGTCTCTGAGGGGATCTTCAATGAATAAAGAGAATCAGTAGCAGGCAATGGAGGGCACATCCAGCTCAGCCTCTCCCACACCAAAACACCCAAGGCTGGATTCACACCACATCGCCAGCTGCCTTCCCACTGTCCAGACACAAAGCCCACACCATGAAAGAATCTTAACAAGATGGTCCTGTTTAAGCCAAGACAGGCCCAGGACAAAGATCCCTGGGCAGCTGCAGCACGGTTGCAGGGGGACTGTGAATCCATAGATACCCAAGCAGTCTATAGACAGGTATGCATGTTTTGGACAAATATGTATTATTTTTTAAAAGGATGAGGATGCAAAACTCACTTAACATTACTGAATTCAAAATGGCTTTTGTTCATCACGTGTTTTCTTTAGTCAAAAGGTACTAAAACCAGAAATAATATCACATAGAAGTTCTCAAAATTTCTGACATTAAAGGGGTCTTCACTCAAGTCTGGATAGAATATACTTTTATTTCTTCAATAGGAACTAAGACTCATGAAAAAATTAAGTCATATATTTTTTAATTCCTTCAAAAGTTTGTGAGGAAGAAGAAAATTCCGAAGTTAATATTTTGCAATGTGAAATAAAGTTAATTTACTACCAAGACCAAAAGAAAAAAAATATTTAAATCAAGAGACTCAGGGTGACTGAGTTTCTCAGACCCAGCTCAACCCTACTCTAGCCCAGAGCTCAAGGGACAAACTGGAGAGCTCTTGCTCCTACAAAACTTAGTAGAAGAATCTGCCATCCCCCAAGGATTCCATCGCTGGATTCTTACATAGCTGAGGTAGTTTGCCCTACATATCTAAACTTTCTGCTCAAAGGTATCTAGTGATTTACAAAGCCTAGCTTCAGAGAGTCAATCCTTTATGAATCAAACTGTTATTTTTACCTTCGGCTCAGATCTGACATGGGAAAATCATAGATTTTGGACATGGAATCTTAGTGTTTAAAGGATTACCAAGGCCACTTGCAGGTTCAGGGCACTTGTAAGCCTAATATTCAACCTGAGAAGCTCTTTAGAAAGTCACTAAAAAATGTGGAAGGAGACTGCTGGCTATCCTCGCACTTATTTAATAGAAACATCAAGAAACACTGTGCTAGCTTCTAACACCAAGAATATGAAGTATAAACGGTTCCGTCCATTCTTCAGATATGATGTAAAATTGCATGAGAAGCAGGAAGTGTCATCACAGCTAATATTTACATACGCTCACTATGGGCCAGCTCATCCTCTCTGCACTCACAAAGATGAACTTATTTGGTCCTTGCCTCAACTCCATGAGATGGGTACTAATGTTATGCCATTTATAAATGAGAAAACATAACGTCACACAGCTAGGTGTGGTGGTGCCAGGGTTCATGCCCAGGCAGTTTGGTGCCAGAGTCAAAGATCTTCATTACTACACTATGAGTGCCTTGCCTGTGAAGAACCCAGACTCAGGGGAGAATTTGACCCCCAGGACTCAAGCCCACGAGTGAGAACACAAGCACACTCCAGGCTCTCACCCCTCTTGTGCCCTGCCCAGAGGAGCCATCATACATGGCAGTGTGGCTATGGGGTGAGATCTGAAAATAGTTCTAGCGGCCCTGGAGTTGTATACAACTGTACTACCAGGGCTGGGTTATTCTGCCTGCCCCTGCTTCAGCATGAGCCTCTAGGCAAGAGAGTCCTGTTAACTTCTGCTCTTTCTTCTCTTTCCTCTGCTTTAAAAATGGAAGAAGAGCCAGGTATAAGCAGAACACCCTGGCAGAACTTTTTACATTTGGTTACTGCTTGGGCTACTTGCTACTCTGAGTAGAACGCCTTCAGGGGTTGGCAAACTATAACTGGTGGGTTAAACCCTGCCCGCCACTTGCTTTTATAAGGTTTTACTGGAACATAGCCACACTCGCTCATTTACATGTTGTCCATGGTCTCTGGAGGCTTCTGTGTTCCAACAGTGGCGCTCAAGAGTTGTGACAGGGCCATAGGAATCACAAGGCCTAAAATATGTATTATCTGGCTCTTTATGGAAAAAGTTTTCCATGCCTGTTCTAGGACGTTCCAGGAACTTGGAGGGTGAAAAACTGTTGTAAAGATCAAGAAGCTTGTAATTTCTCAGAAAGCAATCAAACACACGACAGAGAAAAAAAGTTATTTCATATCCTATGTTTAAATGGTACATCCATCTTCAAGAGAGAAAGAATTTCATGTCATCTGGCACTTACCCTTCATCTCCCGAGGCAAGCTCCTTCTGACCAAGCGTCCCTGGCCCCCACGTCCGTCCCTTCTTCTTTGGGGCCCTCTTCTCCTCCTCCTCCCCTTCCTCCTTTGGGACGACTGAGCTCCTGCCCCAGGTTTTGCTGCTTTCACCTGGTGTCACTGTGAATCACAAGGGTTGGATAGGATCTAGAAAATGGACAGACAGGGCTCCCCCAAACTAGCCTCTATACCACCACACACACACACACATTTGGAGCTGCAGGGAAGTTAGACCTTATCAAAAACTCTGTGCCCAAGTGGACCCTTCCAGGAAAGTAATGGAGTTCTCAGCCACCAATCATTTAGCTCTCTCAAAGTACTAAACATGGAAACACTTCTTCAATTTTCACAAATCCAATGTAAAGCTAGAGCTTAGGCCAGCCAGACATCAGAGTTCCAAACAGATCTGACTTTACCTGTTTTGTTGGGTGGGATTGGGTAGTGAGCAAATAAGGAGGCAGGTAAGGGGGGAAAAAAGACAAGGGGTAAGGAAGGCGTGGAAATGCAGGAATCTTGGAAAGAAAGGGTTGGGAAGAAAATGAGGAGTTCAAGGTTATGGAAAAGGAAGTCTGGAGTGGGAGAAGGGGAAGAAAGAGGCCTAGAGAAAGACAGATAAGAGAGGAGGAATATTTTTCTGACATTAATACCTTGGAGCAAGGGTTGAGACCCAAATGCCCCAGGGACTGTGCTTATATCATAAACGAGCAAACTAGTTACCAAAAAACAAGGAGTTGAAGGGGCTGAGGCAAAATATGGAGTATACGGAAGCTGCTATTAGTGCCAGCCAACTGTAGCCACATGAAAAAAGAAACCTACTGATTTGATTTCATTTTTCAAGGAAAGCTAGAAATCTTGGATTTTTCTTTTTTGAGACGGAGTCTCACTCTGTCGCCCATGCTGGAACGCAGTGGCGCAATCTTGGCTCACTGCAACCTCCGCCTCCTGCATTCAAGCGATTCTCTTGCCTCAGTCTCCCAAGTAGCTCGGACTACAGATGGGTGCCACCATGCCCAGCTAACTTTTTTGTATTTTTAGTAGAGGCGGGGTTTCAGCATGTTGGCCAGGATGGTCTCGATCTCCTGACCTCATGATCTGCCCGCCTCAGCCTCCCAGAGTGCTGGGATTACAGGCATAAGCCACCATGCCCAGCCGAAATCTTGGATTTTTAAATAAAATCTGTCTTTAAACCAGGGAAACTAATTCATTCACATATAGGTGTATGTTCACACACACACACACACACACACACTTACATGTATGTGTGAGTATTTTTTTTAAGCAAATACTGTAGCAAAGATAAAATTGGTCCAGATTTGGCTTATTATAAAGTATATGGCAAGTTTCCTTAGGACCTATACTTTGAAAAAAAAACCCTTCCTTGGGAAGTGTGGACTAAAGAAAAACAATGATGCCCCAAATATGGCAAAGAGTGTGTTAGGTTCTCAGGCCAGGTAGCAACCTGTATCCACATCACACACCAGTTTCTAAATTGCTTTGCAAACCACTAAAGATCCCATTAGTACCCACAAATCCCTTTGCTGATATGTGACTAAAAGGTAGAGGGGGCAGTAGTAAAGTTAATGGAGAGAGACAAGGGAGAGGGCTAAGGGTTTGCGTACATATGTGCATGTATATACACATTGTCGAGGAGAGGTGGCAGAAGTTATGGATGGAGCAAGCCTGGACCAGTCGGTGGCTGGACAGAGCAGGGGACAGGTGCCCCTGTGTGTTCTGGCCCCAGCTAATTTGGGAAACAGTCTCACACTGGATGGCTCGAAGGCGAGGAATGATGGTGGGGCTTGCAGGAGGACTGGAGCGGCTGTTGATAAGACTCTTCCTTTTATCCATGGTAGGGGAGGCCTGCACCGTGAACTTGTGCTGGAAATCTGCTTGGGGAAAGACAAACACGTGTATGCATTAACATTTCCCATAATTAAATTCATATAAGAAATATGACATTCCTCAGCATCCTTGAGGGACAGGCCCCAGTTTCCTGAAAAGCTCTTTGTTCACCTGGGAAATGTTCTCTTTTAGAATCATCTCTTTTTCCCAAGGGACATGGGGAGATGAACGTATAAAAAGATGGAAAATTCACTGTGCAAGTGAACTTCATCTGTGAGCTTCATAAAGCTGTCTATATAATGAATATAGTTCAAGCAGTTATGTATTAAGAATAGCTGTTTAGCTCATGAGATGTTGTTGATTATTCTAGGAAATTTAACTTAAAATTATTGGTTTCACATAATCTATTATCAGATAGATTTGGTCCTCTTTTCTCAGGGACTGAAGCAGGGACACTGATTCTTCTCACTAAGTGCAGGCACAGCAGGGTATCAATGACTAGCCCTTGTGGGAACCTAGGGCAGTGAGGGAGATGGAGCAAATGGCTCCAATTCGGACACATTCCAAAGGAAGTTACAGTACAGCATAAAGAATGTAAAACTTACAGGTCTGAATTTCTGAGTTTCAGTCTCCTCATCTATCAAAGAGGTAAAATAAACAGCTGCTGCTTGCACCTATGTCTCCCCATTAGACTGTGATCTCCCTGCAGGTGGGAACTATAGCTTTTCTATCTGCATCCTGACATGCAACAATATGCTGACACATGCTAGATGCTCAAAGGGTGCTTAAAGAGTCCATGCTGTCTGAAAAGGAAAAACAAATGTGCAGCAAGGGGACCAGCAAACACGGCTCATAAACATATTCACTCAACTGCATGGAATGAGTTCCCTTATCTGTACTTAATTAAGCCACCATTTTAGTGCTTAACATCATCTACTCCTGCCCCATTAGACCATTCTTTCTTTGTTCCTTACACTTTTTTTTTTTGAGATGGAGTTTCACTCTTGTTGCCTAGGCTGGAGTACAAGGGCGCAATCTCCGCTTACTGCAACCTCCGCCTCCCAGGTTCAAGCAATTCTCCTGCCTCAGCCTCTTGAGTAGCTGGGATTACAGGCATGTACCACCATGCCCGGCTAATTTTGTATTTTTAATAGAGACGGGGTATCTGCATGTTGGTCAGGCTGGTCTCGAACTCCTGACCTCAGATGATCCACCCGCCTCGGCCTCCCAAAGTGCTGGGATTATAGGCATGAGCCATTGCACCTGGCCTGTTCCTTACACTTCTAATAAGCCTGCTTTCTAGGGCCTCATAGACTTAGAACACAGTGAATATCTTTATCTACATCAACACACATTTTAGCATTCGGCTCCCTCCATGGATATATTACACACCACAAAGATTCTAATTAATAGTTTCATATTTCTTTATATTTTCCCCAAGGCTGCAGTACAACAAATGCATGTTTATTCAACTGATGTGTGTGTCTGAAAGGTCACATGTAAATCTTATCATGTAAATTCTCATACATTAAACCCAGTCTCAACTGCACTCAGGGGACTAATTAAAAAAACGTCAGCCAGGAGTGGTGGCTCACAACTGTAATCCCAGCACTTTGGGAGGCCAAGGTGGGTGGATCACTTGAGGGTGAAACCCTGTCTCTACTAAAAATACAAAAATCAGCTGGGCGTGGTGGCATGCGCCTGTAATCCCAGCTGCTCGGGGGCCTGGGGCAGCAGAATCACTTGAACCGGGGAGGTGGAGGTTGCAGTGAGCCAAGATCTTGTCATTGCACTCCAGCCTGGGCAACAAAAGCAAAACTCTGTCTCAAAAAAAAGAAACCTTGAGACAAGTTATTTTGCAGAGCCAAAACTTCTCGTGTCTCACACATGCACACCCTGGAATGTTTTCCCCCAACTTCATGCTTCCTTCTCCAGGTTTGCCTAAAGTGAGATGTGCCCCTGTGAGCCACCAGGCTTCTAGCAGCCTGGACCTTGCCGGGTTGTCCTCACTTCATATTCTGTGTTCACTCACATGCAACAATTTCCCTGGAGTAGGGTAGATTTTCAACATGCCAGTCTTTCCAGTGAACAGAATGGCCCATTTAAAACAGGCTGGAGTTTGAGCCCCAGGGTGTCATGTTTCCAAGCTCAGTCCCGGACTCCCTCAAACCCTCTGCCACACGAGTTCTTTGCCCTGCTCCCACTTCCCAGCCAGTCCCCGGCCACTGACCAGAAGGGAGGCTGATGCGGTTGCCATCCTTGAGCTTCAGCCGGCTCTTCCTGAACTTGCCCTTGCGTTTCTTCACCCGGGGCTTCTCCTGGCACAGCTGGTGGATGATGATGTTGAGCTCCCGTTCCAGGATGTCAATCTCCCGCTCGGCCAGCTCCTGCTCCCGACGCCGCAGCAGTTCCTCCTGGTTCTTCTGCTGCAGTGCAGCCCGCGTCAGCTCCTCCTCCCAGGTGCGAAGTTCCTGCAGGATGGGCAGAACCATCAGAGAAAAGACTGGGGTGCTCAGTGCAGAGGGGCTCTGGGGTGAGGCCTGAGAGCTCCCAGAGGGCTTATGGTGACCTGGAGAGCTCTCCTATGATGCTCAGTGAAGAGAGAGGACTCGATAGCTGGTAAATGAACATTAGACCACCTTGAATGGTGGGGAAAGGAAGGCTCAGAACAGCCATACTGACGGGACAGTCAGAGAAGATAAAGCCATAGGTCAAGCCCTAGAAATGGGGGCTAAGAGTTTCTAGTCGCTCCTTCCTTCTTCATTAAAATTGCCTGTGATTTATATATATTTATATATATATATATATATATATATAGGTTTGAATAGAAAATATAATCATGTATTTATTTACAGACTTGGTTGTACTTTACTTTCTATTTTTTGAGACAGCAACTCATTCTGTCACCCACGTTGGAGTGCAGCGGTGCGATCTCAGCCCACTGCAACCTCTGCATCCCTGATTCAAGTGATTTTCATGTCTCAGCCACCGGAGTAGCTGAGATTATAGGCATGTGCCACCAAACCTAGCTAATTTTTTTGTATTTTAGTAGAGATTAGGTTTTACCATGTTGGCCAGGCTGGTCTCAAACTCCTGGCATCAAGTGATCCATCGGCCTCAGCCTCTCAAAGTGCTAGGATAACAGGCGTGAGTCACTGCGACAAGCCAAATTTTTTCTATTATATAAAAGATGTTTTTTCACCAAATGCAATGGCAACAAAAGCCAAAATTAACAAATGGGATCTAATTAAACTAAAGAGCTTCTGCACAGCAAAAGAAACTATCATCAGAGTGAATAGGCAACCTACAGAATGGGAGAAAACTTTGCAATCTATCCATCTGACAAAGGGCTAATATCCAGAATCTACAAAGAACTTAAACAAATTTACAAGAAAAAAAAAAACCCCATCAAAAAGTGGGTGAAGGATATGAACAGACACTTCTCAAAAGAAGACATTTATGCAGCCAACAAACATATGAAAGAAAGCTCATCAACACTGGTCACTACAGAATTGCAAATCAAAACCACAGTGAGATACCATCTCACACTAGTTAGAATGGTGATCAGTAAAAAGTCAGAAAACAAAGATGCTGGAGAGGATGTGGAGAAACAGGAATGCTTTTACACTGTTGGTGGGAGTGTAAATTAGTTCAACCATTGTGGAAGACAGTGTGGCAACTCCTCAAGGATCTAGAACTAGAAATACCATTTGACCCAGCAATCCCATTACTGGGTATATACCCAAAGGATTATAAATCATTCTACTATAAAGACACATGCACACGTATGTTTATTGCGGCACTATTCACAATAGCAAAGACTTGGAACCAACCCAAATGTCCATCAGTGATAGACTGGATAAAGAAAATGTGGCACATATATACCATGATACTATGCAGCCATAAAAAAGGATGAGTTCGTGTCTTTGCAGGGACGTGGATGAAGCTGGAGACCATCATTCTCAGTAAACTAACACAAGAACAGAAAACCAAACACCTCATGTTCTCACTCTAAGTGGGAGTTGAACAATGAGAACGCATGGACACAGGGAGGGGAACGTCACACACCCTGTGGGAGTGGGGGGCTAGGGGAGGGAGAGCATTAGGAAAAATACCTAATGTAGGTGACAGGTTGATGGGTGCAGCTAACCACCATGGCACGTGTATGTAACAAAACTGCACATTCTGCATATGTACCCCAGAACTTAAGAGTATAATTAAAAATAAATAAATAGTAAAAATAAAAAAAAAGATATTTTTAAAGCAGAGCCAACTTAATCCAGCTTAAAATGTATCCACTGTACATAAATCATCCTCCAGGTAACATCTAACAATAAAATATAAATATGTTTCCAGGGTGGCTGCTCAAAAGCTAAGTGAGGCATGTCATCTAAATCTTCATGGTCACTTGAGGAATGAATCCACTGAGGTATGTGGTTTCAACTCTCACCTTATCTTAAAGGACAATGATTTGCTCTAGAAGAATCACAAAAGCATAGCAAGGAAAAAAGAGAACATTTCCTGAGGTCTTTTTCAGGCACTTGCTCTAGAACCAAATTTGGCTGCTGCTCTATCACACTCCCCTGAAACAAACTGCTCAATGAGCACAGGAGATGTCACCCCAGAGCAGACCGTGCCCCTGCAAATCTGAAGGACAGTCAGTCACACTGCTAGGGGGAGAGCTGAAGCCAGAAAGCTAGAGGGTGGAACTGGGACAAAGTCCCATTTGGAATTGCATCTTGTGACCCAAGAACAGGCCCTTTTGTCCTGCTCTGAGAATGGAAGCAGGAGCCACATCAGATGGCAGAACCTCTTCCCTACCTCCCCTTTATCCTTACGCATGAGTTCACAAGTGAGCCCAGCACTGAATTCCTGGCAAGAGGGGAGGGGATATAGAATCAGGAAACAGGAAAGAAAACAAAGCATGCCTACAAAATTTTTAAATCTAGATTTTAAACTCTTAATGCTGGTTACCCTGGGCCTTGGATTAAAGTGGGGTGTGGGGTGGAACCTGGAGAGAGCCATGTCTGAAAAAGCAGGATATTTCTTCAGTAAAGGAGCCACAGCTACACTTCTGTGGTCGAAACCTAACTTCTTAATGAAATACTCACTATAAGTAACCATTCTGGATTAAAACAAAATAGTGTAGAAAGGGAACCTGGAGCTAGAAAACAAGCATGTGAACCCATATTGGGGAAGCTGAGCAGCAGGTAAAAGTGGAAGAGAGGAAAGAGATCAAGAAATGAATACAATATTCTGATGCTATAAACTCTCCATTCAGCTTGTCTTCCATCCCCAGGAGAATGTCAAAATAGCCATAAAAGTGATAGAAAGAAGGCCGGCATGGTGTCTCACGCCTGTAATCCCAGCACTTTGGGAGTCCGAGGCAGGCGGATCACCTGAGATTGGGAATTTGAGACCAGCCTGGCCATGATAGTGAAACCCTGTCTCTACTAAAAACATAAGAATCAGCTGGGCATGTTGACGTGCACCTGTAATCCCAGCTACTTGGGAGGCTGAGGCAGGAGAATTGCTTGAACCCGGGAGGTGGAGGTTGCAGTGAGCCGAGATCATGCCACTGCACTCCGGCCTAGGTGACAGAGCAAGACTCTGTCTCAAAAAAAAAAAAAGTGATAGAAAAGAAATGAGAAAAGAATTAGCACATTGAAAAGTGTCTAGCATGTGGTAGGCCTAGGTACTCAGTGGTTGAATAACTATTGAGTCAATAAATGAATGAAGAGAAATAATAATAGGAGATAGAGTGCAATATTGTGAATGCAATCCTTCTTTATGGGAACATAGATTTATCACAAGTTCCTGAGAGTTGAACTTGAACTACTTCTTCCTTGATGAAATAAACCTCAAATTAATTGTTGTGCGCCCTCCAAATCCTTTGTTTCTCTGTCCTATGACTTTGTTTTCATTACCAAGAGAAGAAAAATTCATGGAAGATGCAGAAAAAATATTCCTGGTTGGTTGATTTTGCTGTTAAGTGTAAAAGTTTAAAAATCAAAGCTAATTTCAAGCTTCCTAAGCCCTCGTCTCCTCCATGCTCTTGTCTAAGGGATGGTCTGGCTCTAAGTCACTCTCTTTAATGGAACACAAACCCCAGATGACACCAATGCATTCTCACAATAATACTTAGAAACAGTAGGTTGATCCAACCTGAGGAATTAGCTGAATCATAGGGTAAATGAGGAAACTTGTGGAATATATGCCTATGACACCATTCACCTGGAGGACCCTTAGACATGTTGAATCTCCTACTTTTGCAACACCTATTTGTGTTGCACAGTTTGCAAATCACATCTTCCACATACAGAATGAGTTAAGAAGAATCTCTCCAGAGAGAAAGCACATCTTACTCTCACTTACCAAACAACAAGCCTTATAACAGGGAGGCATCATAGCATGGTGGCTAAGAGAAAGGACTCTGGAACAAACTGCCTGTTCAGGTCCCAGCTTCACCATCATTAACTGTGTGGTCTTGGACAAGTTAATAAGGGCATCACATGTAATATGGAGTTAATAGCACTGACATCATTGACACAGACAATTATTATCTCATTAAATAAGATAATTCATAGAAAGTATAAGAAAGCATGGCACATAGCACATGCTCTACAAATGTTAGCTATTATGAGTTTGACTTCCTAGTAACTACTTACTGACAAAATCCAAACTTCATTTTTCTTACTGGCTGGTACCCTTATAATTTCATCAATTAAAAGAAAGGTAACCAAGGGTCAGTGATGCAGCAATCAAAAAAACAAAAGGCCAGCAACTCTTGGGATTCTTCTAGCTGGAATACTATTTAGTGAGAGGAACAGTCTTTTGTAATCATTCTGCTCAACAGCCAGTGCAAGTCCACCCACCAGGGACCCTAAAGAGTCATTGTAAGCTCACTCCATTCTTCTAGAGAATGCTCATTGACTTGGCAAACAGTACTGTGTTCAGAATTGCTATGTTCCATAAAAAGAGTTTAATTCTTCAAATCAGCTCCAGAAATTATTTGTAAGTCATTTGTGTAGAATAAAAATGACACTTGATATGGTTTGACTGTATCTTCACCTAAATCTCATCTTGAATTGTAGTTTCCATAATCCCCATGGGTCATGGGAGGGACCAAGTGGAGATAATTGAATCATGGGGGTGGTTCCCTCATCCTGTTCTCGTAATAGTGAGTTAGTTCTCACGAGATCTGATGGTTTTACAAGGGGCTTCTCCCTTTGCTGGGCACTTATTTCTTCTTCCTGCCACCATGTGAAGAAGGACCTGTTTGCTACCATGATTATAAGTTTCCTGAGGCCTCTCCAGCCCTGTGCAACTGTGAGTTGATTAAACCTTTTTCCTTTATAAATTAACCAGTGTTGGGTATGTCTTTATTAGCAGCATGAGAATAGACTAATATAATATTACAACGAATATCGGTTTTTGGAATCAGAAGACCCACATTCAAGATTCTGCTTCCCCACTTACTAACTCTGTTACTTCAGGCAAGTTGCTGACCCTCAGCTCTGAGATGGAAACAATAATAACACCTGGCCTACATACTGATGGCAGGAGCCATAGGACTCCTGGATAAAACAGACAAAAAGGTCTCATCAAATTTTTCAAGTGGAAAAAGTGGGAAACCATAAAGCCATAAACAATTTTAGCTATCATTATTATCACATGGCTATTAACTTCCCAAATTCCCATAGTGCAGAGTGAGAAAAGAAAAAAGGCCTGTAATCCCAGCCCTTTGGGAGGCCGAGGTGGGCGGATCACGAGGTCAGGAGATCGAGAGCATTCTGGCTAACACGGTGAAACCCCATCTCAACTAAAAATACAAGAAATTAGCCGGGCGAGGTGGCGGGCGCCTGTAGTCCCAGCTACTCGGGAGGCTGAGGCAGGAGAATGGCGTGAACCCAGAGGCAGAGCCTGCAGTGAGCTGAGATCGTGCCACTGCACTTCAGCCTGGGCGACAGAGCGAGACTGTCTCAAAAAAAAAAAAAAAATGGTAAAAGAAATTAACCAAATCTATAAAGACTTCTCTCTTGCCCCTAGCTACATCCCTTAGATTTAGTCCTGCCCCTATATAAGCAATATAGTTGCATGTGACTGGCTTCACCTGTGTGTACACTGACTGCTAGGGACACACTGAGGGAACAGAAAGGGGCCATTTAGGGAATGGCCACCAAAACAAAAAAGCAGATCTCTGGTAGGCTAGGAGTCTCTGAACTCCCTGGTTGGTTTGGGCTTGAAATACTTTTCATAAAAACATGAAAAATGCCACACAATTTCAGACCCATGTTATTTTTTGCCCATATTCTATTTCTGATTCTGATGTCAAAAGACATGGGAAGGATGTTCTGATAACTATCCTCAAGGTTGAAGTATCCCTATATCAAATTAACCTTCTTCTAGAAGTCTATTGTAGAATCAAGAAACATTTCCAGAACTTCTCATATTTCCAGCTGGCAGGGTGAGACATTCCACTGTGAGAAAAGAAAAAAGGCCTGTAATCCAAGCACTGGGATTTTGCCCAACTGCATTCTTCTCTGGTTTGGACAATTAAGTAGATACCAAGCTGGAAGGTGGGCATGCTAGAATCAAGATGGTCAGTCAGACTCGGTCCAGAGGTCCCTGTGAGTGAGGTCTACCAATTCAATGCATGCCTTTTTTCTTTTCGTTCGTTTTTTTGTTGTTTTTTTTGTTTTGTTTACCTTTTCTTTGGCCCTGAGTTGGTCAAACATCTCCTGAATCTCGTGTTTCCAGTTGTCCTGCAGGCAGTGGAAGGAGTCCTTGGGCATTTCAAAGAAACCAGACTCCTCTATGGTGGTTAGCTGGTCCAGGATATTCGTGAAAGATGGTCGTGAGTGGGGATCAGGATTCCAGCAGTCTGAATAGAACATGTGAATACTCAGAAAGCATGAATGGACAGAAGCAAACATGTAAGACTTAGGCTATTACATGGCCTCACTTCCCAGAAAACTACCTCTTACTTCTTCCAGAAACAGAGATCAGAATTTAGGTAACCTCAAATAAGGCTCAGGAAGTAAAGCAAACTGTCCACCATTACAACCATAAAGAGTGAAAATGGAAATGAAATGCAGCAGTTCTGTACTCATTCCATTCTGGCTGTTAATTAAGGATAAGAAAAGCGAGCCCAAAGAGTTTTCTTGTACAAAGCACCACCACAACACAATTTACCATGTTACTACCTGATTCAAGAACAGACAATGGGGAATTATGCCCTGGGCTTCAGTTTCCCATAAATAAATGAATTAGCCTTCCCCCACCCACAATGGGATGATGAGGAGGCGAGGATGAAAAGCATTCTAGTGGGAGTCAGGGAAATCGAATTCTACCTAATCCCAGCTCAGCCACTCTCTAATGAGGTGGCCACCTATCCACTCAACTTCGCTTAGCTTTAGATTCCTTACTTACAAAATTATGGGGTTTGACTAGATGACTTTTAGAGTTCTTTCTCCTAAGATGTTCTTCACGTCTCTTAAGGTATTCAGAGGTCCTGACATAAAAGTTGCTGTACTTTCTGATTTTGCATTAAATGATAATATGCTGAAGTGCCGGATAGCAGGCTTTTGTTACTAATTTCACTTCTACAGTCCCTGGAGATATGACTGCTTGCAGCAGGGTGTGGATGTCATCTTGAAGAAGCCTTTCCAGTTGCCCAGAGGATTCCTCCTTAGGTGACTGAAACTTTATCTCCTCTTTCAGTAACTGATCTCACAGAATTGGCCAAACTCTACCCAGTGCTTACAAGAGGCAAAGTGTCTCCAGTTTGGTTCAGGCCAGGGCTTACTTACCTTCCATGAGTTTGGCAAAAGGTTCTGGGCACGTAGAAGGAATAGGAAGGGCGAGTTTGTTCATGGCCACTCCATAAGCGACTGCTAAGCCATCAATGCCTCGAAAGGGCACCTCACCAGTCAGCAACTCCCAAAGTAGCACCCCATAGCTAAGGAGAGGAAGAAGACAGAAGCCATGTAATAAACTTCAGGTACAACTTCACTGCAATAGCTCGAGTCTTTTCTGAGCATCCCACATTCTCCCCAACAGATAGTGAGACTAATGAAACAGAAATACTAATGTGATATAAAAGGGAAACCATAAAGCCTACTAGCTAAAAGCAAAATCTCTGGAGTCAAGCATACTTGGTTTTCAAGTTTTCTCCCATAATTCCTTAGCTATATGACCTTGGGCAAGGCACTACACCTCTTTAAGCCTCTAATTCCTCATCTGTAATGCACGAATAACACTATCAGTCTGGCAAGGCTATTGTTGAATTAAATGAGCTACTATAGTGTTTAAATAAGTGCCCAATGGCCATAGCTCTTTCACTATCATTATTGTTTTTTGTTTGTTTGTTTGTTTGTTTTGGGATGGAGTTTCGCTCGGTTGCTCAGGCTGGAGTGCAGTGGCGTGATCTCGGCTCACTGCAACCTCCATCTCCTGGGTTCAAGAGATTCTCCTGCCTCCACCTGCCGAGTAGCTGGGATTACAGGCATGCACCACCACGCCCGGCTAATTTTTGTATTTTTAGTAGAGACAGGGTTTCACCACACTGGCCAGGCTGGTCTCTCAAACTCCTGACCTCCTGTGATCCTCCCGCCTCGGCCTCTCAAAGTGCTGAGATTATAGGCGTGAGCCACCACACCTGGCCTGTTATCATTATTATTAATGAAATAAACTGGGAGAAGAGGCAGCCTCCCAAGTATAATTTTTTTTCTGTTTTAAGAAAACTTCAGCTTTTGTCACAGATACATTTTTTCCCCCAAAGTGCTAGGATTAACAGATTTTCTTTTTAGCTTTACAAAAAGCAGAGTGCTAACCACTCAAAGCAGATTTTGTTCCTATAAAAGATTTCTTTAAATGCCCACTAGGTTGAATAGATTTCTGCCCCCAGATCAGCGTGAGTGGGTTCTTAACGGAGATCTCTAATTCAAATGGAAAAGTTTCACAAGGGTAGACCACATCGGTAGAACAGAGCAGCGCATCAGCTGTGAGAACTTCAGTGTGCCCTCCCTATCTTTCAAGTCCACATAAAGAATTTCTTTTCTCGTGTCCTGTGAGTCAGTGAATGTGGAGTACAAAGCTTAATGGAAGAATTATTCTGTGAATTCACGATCAGAACCAGACACAATCACACAGCACTCAGTCCTTCCAGGAATAAGTCAGGACAAGAAACCATAAGGCTATGAATAGTTAGAAGAATGGCTCTCCTTATGTTTTCAACACCAAATTCAACAATAAGTTTTGCAACCAGCAACAAAGGTCATATTAATTTAAAAAATAATAATAGGCCAGGCATGGTGGCTCACATCTGTAATCCCAGACTGTAAATTCAGCCTTTGGGAGGCGGAAGCAGGCAGATCACTTGAGGTCAGGAGTTCAAGACCAGCCTGGCCAACATGGTGGAACTCCATCTCTACTAAAAATACAAAAATTAGCCAGGTGTGGTGGTGCATGCCTGTAATCCCAGCTACTTGGGAGGCTGAGGCAGGATGATCACTTGAATCTAGGAGGCGAAGGTTGCAGTAAGCCAAGATCACGCCACTGCACTCTAGCCTGGGTGACAGAGCAAG
Organism: Homo sapiens; assembly: GCF_000001405.40. Classification (NCBI taxonomy): domain Eukaryota; kingdom Metazoa; phylum Chordata; class Mammalia; order Primates; family Hominidae; genus Homo; species Homo sapiens. Next base: position 70,751,709 of record NC_000014.9, read on the forward strand.
ACTCTGTCTCAAAGTAATCAATAATAATAATAAACCCAGTAGCTATTTATCATGAAACCTTATATATGAAGACCACTAAGACACTTTACAAACATCACTGTGAATCTCTACAACAATTCTGATAGGTATTATCAACATTTTGCACACAAGGAAAGCAAGTTTTAGACATGTTTAGGAGCATATTACTAAGGGCATACACAGAGTACATCATGGTGGGCCCAGACCAGTTCTCAATTTATTCCCCCTAGAATGCCTTCTACCATTTCTTTGCTTGGTAAATGCTAATCATCTTTCAAGATCCAACTCAAATGTCCCACCATTTATTCATTCATCAGATGACGGCTTTACCCCAGTGAGGCCTTCAAATACTATCATTTTCTTTATGCATCTTGCCAGGAAAAAACAAAAAGCCTGGTAGCCAGTTGGTCTTGACTCGTCTAGACAGGAGATGGATTTTAGTTTGGAGGCTTATGGGAATAGCATTGGATACTTTACGATGCCTTCTTGACATCCCCAGATGTTACTCAGCCCATTTGGGCTGCCATGTATTGTAGCTGTTTGTCTGCTAGCCTATAGGCTCCTAAAGAGCAGGGAGAAATGTTTTTAATCTTTGCATTCTCAGGACCTAGCCCAAGCTCTGGTACACAGGAAGCACTCATAGATATGTGAGTGAGTGGGTCTGTGGGTATGGGAGTGAGCGCATGGTCAGACAGTCCTGCAGGCTGCCCTGGGTCCTCTAGAGGAAAACCCAAACATCATCAAGAATTGCACTATTACACTTCCTGACAAACCTTTCATGTGACTTATCCAGGTAGTGGTCATGCTGGGGAGCTTCTACCAAGTGACCTCCAGGAACTCTCAGCATTGCCAACCAGATTCCTAGGTCAAAGCCACTGTTATCCTCCATTGCTTGCTCTTGGAATAAATGCCCACCTCCATCCTGGAGAATAAAAACCAAAGGTCCCACAGAACCCCTTTCTCCCAACCAGACAAAGACAGACGGTATCTGGGCCCTAACTACCTGGAAAGATCATAGAGTGTTTCAAAGATCCAAATATGTTCTGTTTGTGTCCCTGCATCCCTTCTGTGACAGTTTTCACACTAAGCTCTCAGTGTCCTGTGAAGGTGTCTCAGACCGCCTGGAAGCATGTCGGGGGTGAGGCAGGGGTGGGGGGTTATGGGACTGGGACTGGCCCCATTAGCTCCAGTCAGGGCAGCTCTGCTCTTACCTGGCTTGTTTCTTTGTTTGTCTGCATTCTATCCCACTTCAGGGGTTCTACAGCTAAAAGGAATGTGAGAACTACTGCCCAAGTAGGCAGAATGCTACCAGAGAAAGATTTAGACAGACTTGGGTCAAATGCCTGTTTTATCACTTAACAGCTATGTGCCTTTAGGAAGCAAGTTCACCTCTCCAAACCTCAGTTTCCTCATCCCTACAGCAAAGACAGCAATACCGACCTTACAGAAGAGTTACAAGGAATCACTAACACCAACAACTAACCCTCATCCAGAAATTACCATCTATGGCTAGTAGACCTGTGGTTTCTCCAAAAGGGCCTGAAATGAGATTGTGTCTGAGGAGGCTTATGTAGAGCTACAGTGTTGGTGAGAGCTTTGCTGAGGGACACTGGCATTCAGAGAAGAAGTCTTTCTGGGGCTGACTAAACTAGTTTTCCTCTGCCAACATCCCGCTTTATGTTTACAATGGAAGGTGGGTGATATAAATGAAGACTTGGTATTCTGTTGGTGGGAAAAAAGACTGGAGAAATTCAAGAGAAATACAAGTTTACGTGGATCTGAGCTCAGGGAAAGGCGGGCAGTAGAAGTTGATGTGATTTACCTCAGGTTTAGTCAACTTAGTTGCCCTCCCAAGGTTAAAAGGTCAACAAGTCCTTTGATGACCATTTGCAAGCAGCCTGGAAGAACTCGTTCAGCTAAGTCACTGCCTCTGAGTACCTCCCCGCAACACAGACCCACCAGCTCCCACAGTGCTGCCAGTAATTTCCTAAAAGTCCTCACTGCCTAACCCAACCCTCACAAAATTTACTCTTGAGTTAATAATTAACCACCTCCCGAGGCTTGGTAATCCCTTCAACCATTTCCTAGGATCAGAGGTGGAGGAGGGGTGTTTGATTTTTTTTTCAAAGTGAGGAAAAGTGGACAGCTACCTTTCTTGACAAAAGGCACAGCAACTCCATGCCTGTGCTGGGCCAGAGCTCTATTTTGTAGTAACCTGCACCATCTCTAGACTGTCAGGTCAGGGTCCATGCTCTGAAAGGAGGTGACCAGTCTCCCTTGAATGAGGTGGGCTGGGGAATGTCTTGCACTTGGTAATTATCTATGATTCCACATTCCAGGAACCACACTGACTGTTTAATAATCTTTGACAAAGATAATTGAACTAATATATGTGAAAGCACTTTGTAAATTGAAAGTAGCATATAATTCTTCTTCTTATTAACTGAACCCTCATTCAAAATGATGATGTATTTATTAACATATATGTAATATATACATTGATAAACTTATTGACATAACAACATATTTATTAATGTGGTTATGTGTTCATGCTATATTACATTCAAAAAGCAACTTTTAAAACAGAAAGATCCCACTAGGGATAGGCAGATGAGCACATGAATAGGAGTAAACACACCCAAATATCAATACGCATTATCTCTATAAGTGGGTTCAGGGTGATTTTCTTTCCCTATCTTTTCTTTCTTGTTTACCCATATTTTCAAATTTTTTCTACAGAAAACGTTTTGCTATTGTAATTTTGAGACAGAGTCTTGCTCTGTCGCCCAGGCTGGAGTGCAGTGGTGCGATCTCAGCTCACTGCAAGCTCCACCTCCCGGGTTCACACCATTCTCCCGCCTCAGCCTCAGGAGTAGCTGGGACTACAGGCACCCAGCACCATGCCCGGCTAATTTTTTGTATTTTTAGTAGAGATGGGGTTTCACCATGTTAGCCAGGATGGTCTCGATCTCCTGACCTTGTGATCTGCCCGCCTCAGCCTCCCAAAGTGCTGAGATTACAGGTGTAAGCCACCGTGCCCAGCCACTATTGTAATTTTTTAAACTTAAAATGATTAAGACAATGCCTCCACCTCATCCCACAACCAACAGGCAAGAAGGCCTTGTGGGACGATGCCCTCTGACAGTAACCACTGCTCTACCCACACAGCGCAAAGAAAGGGAACAATTTCAGCAATAGCCTTCTTGAGGCAGTCCCCAATCCAAGCAGACTGGGAAACTTACACAATTGAGGATCCAGCCCTTTATCATCTCACCCTCCATCACAACATTTGCAGGAGAACTTTAGAAGCACACTCAAAGAGCAGGAAGACAAACCAGATGGCCCTGGGCACCTGGAATAGCAGAGGCGCAGAGGCCCCCAGCTCTGGATGAGTTCCAGGAGGGTTGAGGTGTGGGGCACTCAGACTCAGCCAGTACCTGGCATAGGGCAAGCATTCCACAGACACTTCTTGAATGAGTCAGTGAGTTACAAGTCAGTTTGGGAAACAGCTTTGTACCAAGTTCCTAGGCATGCCCTGGCCCTCCCTGAGACACCCTGCTGGGCCCTAGGCACGCACGGTGGGCTGATCATTCAGAAGAGGCTGCCTTAAGTGCAGGAACAGGACCATACAGATGGTGGCATAACTACAAGCACAGATTGTCACTACACACATATCTAGTTCTAATCATAGCTTTATGTCTGCCACCTGGGTGAACTTAGGCATGTGACTTCAATTGTCTGAGCCCAGTTACCTCATCTGTAAAATGGAAATGATGATCCCTACTTTGGGGAATTCTTGTGAAGACTATAGAAGATGTATAACATTTACCACAGACCCTAGCCCTTAAGCATTTGTAGGTGGTAACAACTGTTACCAGTGTACAAGCATTGCTGTATGTACAGCAGTGGGCACACATTTTCCTCTGCTAAAGGTGAGAGACCATTTGGAGCTACTTAGATGGGTAAGCCTGAGGAAGAAGGAATGAAAGGCCCATTTAATGGGTTATAAATTGTGCTTTGAAGGAAATCCTGCAGCATAGAAGCTAAGACAGCTGAAAGGGAGCAGGGTGAATTATGTTTTCAAACCACAATCATCAACCAAACTGGGTCAGGAGGCTTAAGTCCTGGGAACAAGTCTAGACTAGAGCAACTAGAGACCTGCTGGCAGACCATGTGACAATATCCAAGACACATCATCCAAAGTGCTTCTGATTTGAGGTTTACCTCCAAGTGATTTCCTCTAGAGAGTAGAATAATTTCATCAGATGCCTCTCACCAGAGGCTCTTCCTTCAAGCCTGCTTTTAGGATCATGGTTATAGGGCAAGACCTAGAGGTTAGTCTTACAACAAGGATACTTAGGGTAAAAGTTGAAAGGTCCTGCCCTTGTTCTTTCGGTGGAGAAAAAAGCTCTGCAATGGCCTTGTCTTTCCCTGTCTACAATTTCTGTCATCCTGAGAAGACTCTACATGCGGCATTTGTGCTTTCCCTTCCCACTGGGAAGGTACGAAGGTACTTGGATACATGACACAACTCTGTCCAAATCGTCACCAGCAGAAACCTCTGGAGTGTGTGACAGTAAAACCTGAGCAATTTCAGGGTTAGGCTGGGAGAAGAAACCTAGTGGGAATACTGGAGGTAGAAAACAATCATGTTACTGAGAAATCATGGTTTTCCATTAAAAAAGGCAAGAGAGAGTTGAGTGTGACAAGTGGCTGCTTGTCCCCTCAAATCCACCCTTCCTGTCTTCCATAGTGGGGCACACAGTTGTCCAGCTAGAACGTACATTTTTCTGCCTCCCTTGGAGCCAGGTGTGCCCACATAACCAAGTGCAGGCAATTGGGTGTGCAGAGATGTGTACAACTTCTGGATAGTTTCCAAATTAAAGATAAACTGCGCTTGCCATGAGTAAGTTCTCCTTCCTCTTTTATGAAAATTGTAATACACACATAACAGTCACCCAATTTAACCATTCGGTCAAGGTCAATGCACTGAGGGAATCTAAAAGAACCTAGGTTCCTAAACGATCTCATGGGGCACAGTTGCCCTGCTAGCCTGGGCTATTTAGCTAGTTTTTGAAAGAGAATATGCTTCTATCCTATCTAAGCCTCCATATCTGTATGCCTCTTTGTAATAGCAGCTTAGCTTAATTGATGTATTAATCTCATTAGCATATGGTCAAGCAATAAAAGTGTTAAACTGAAACATGAAATTGCTGATTTTATATATCAAAAATAGTTGAATATCAGTATACAACTCAACTTAATGAGATCAGGTCAGATATTTTAAGGAAAGTTAAACTCATTTCTTCTCATTAGCTACTTTACCCTGTAATTAATGCATGGTAAAATGAGGTTCAATATACAGATGCTACAAAACATCACTGAAAGAAGTTAAAGGAGGTCTAAATAAATGGAAAGATATCCCATGATCATGAATTGGAAGACTTATTAAGATGTCAATAGGGCCAGGCGCAGTGGCTCACATCTCTAATCCTAGCACTTTGGGAGACCAAGGCAGGTGAACAGCTTGAGCTCAGGAGTTCAAGACTAGCCTGGGCAACATGGTGAAACCCTGTCTCTACAAAAAAAATAGAAAAAGTGGAGCATGCCTGTAGCTCCAGCCACTTAGGAGGCTGAGGAAAGAGGATCACCTGAGCCCAGGAGGTCAAGGCTGTAGTAAGCCATGATTACACCACTGCACTCCAGCTCAAGCAATTGAGACCCTGTCCGAAAAAAAAAAAAAAAAAGGGTGTAAATAATCTACAAAGCTACAGATTTGATGCAATTCCTATCAAAATCCCAGCTATCTATTTTGTATAAATTAACAAAATTACCCTAAGATTCATTAAATGCAAAGGACTCAGAATGGCCAAAACAATCTTCAAAGAGAAGAACAAAATTGGAATCACATTTCCTAATTTCAAAACTTACCACAAAGTCATACTAATTAAGAAAGGGTGGTATTGGCATAAGGACAGATATAGATTAATGGAGTAGAACTGAGAATCTAGAAATAAACCTTTATATTTCTGGTAAATTGACATTTGATAAAAGTGACCAAATAATTCGATGGGAAAAAATGGTCTTTTCAATAAATGGGGCCAGGATAACTGAATAGCCACATGAAAAATAATAAAGTTGGACCCCTACCTCATACCACATACAAAAATTAAGTCAAAATGGATCAGAGACATAAAAGTAAGAGCTAAGATTATAAAACTCTTAGAAAAAAATATAGGAGTGTAAGTCTTCATGACTTTGGACTAGGCAATGTTTTTTAGATATGACACCAAAAGCACAATCCACAGATGATAAAATAAACTAGACATCATCAAAATTAAAAACACTGTTTCAAAGAACAGCCTTAAGAAAGTGGAAAAACAATCTACAGAATGGAAAAAAAAATTTGCTAATCATATATCTGATGAGAGAATAGAAAGGACTCTTTCAGCTCAACAATAAAAAGACAAATACTCTAATTTTTAAATTGGCAAAGGATTTGAATAGATATTTCTTCAGGTTCAGAGATATAATTGGCCAATAATTACATGAAAAGATACTCAACATCATAAGTCATTTAGTGAAATGCAAATCAAAATCACAACAAAATACTATTTCATATCCACAAGGATAGACATAATAATAACTTTTTTTTTAAAAAAAGGCAATAACAAGTATTGAAAAGATGTGGTGAAATTGGAACATTCATACATTGCTAACGGGAATATAATAAAATGGTATAGCTATGATGAAAAAGTTTGGTGGTTCCTCAAAAAGTTAAACATAGAACTGTTACATGATTCAGCAATTCCACTCCTAGGGATAGACCCAAGAAAACTGAAAAAAATATGTTTACACAAAAGCTTGTGTTGTACACAAGTGTCCATAGCAGCATTATTTATAACAGCCAAAAAGCAAAAACAACCCAAATGCCCATCAACTGATAAATGGATAAACAAATGTGGTCTATCCATACAATGGAATATTATTAAGCCTTAAAAAGGAATGAAATTCTGAGATAAGTTACAACATGGATGAATCTTTTTTTTTTTTTTGAGACGGAGTTTCACTCGTTTCCCAGGCTGGAGTGCAATGGCACAATCCTGGCTCACTGCAACCTCTGCCTCCTGGGTTCAAGCGATTCTCCTGCCTCAGTCTCCCGAGTAGCTGGGATTACAGGCATGCGCCACCACGCCTAGCTAATTTTGTATTACAACATGGATGAATCTTGAAAACATTATGCTAAATGAAAGAAGCCTAGTCACAAAAGACCACAAATGGTATGATTCCATTTATGTGAAACATCCAGAACAGGCAAATTCATAAAGACAGAAAGGAAATTAGTGTTTGCTAGGGAGTAGAAGGGGGAAGGATTAGGGAAGGACTGATAATAGACATGGAGCTTCTTTTTTGGATGATAAAAATGTTCTGGAAATTGGCCGGGCATGGTGTGGTTCATGCCTATGATCCCAGCCCCTTAAGAGGCCGAGGTGGGCAGATTGCTTTGGATCAGTTCAAGACCAGCCTGGTCAACATGGTGAAATCCCGTCTCTACTAAAAATATAAAAATTAGCCAGGTGTGGTGCACGCCTATAATCCCAGCTACTTGGGAGGCTGAGGCAGGAGAATCACTTGAACCCGGGAGGCAGAGGTGGCAGTGGGCTGAGATCATGCCACTGCACTCCAGCCTGGGCAACAGAGTAAGACTCCATCTCAAAAAAATAAATAAATAAAAATAAAGTTCTGGAAATAGATAGTGGTTGTAATGGGCTGAATGGTGGCCCTAAAAAGCTATATCTATGTCCCAATACCCAGAATCCTTATTTGAGTCATTATCTTCACTAGAGTCTCTGGAGGGTGTGGCCCTGCCCACATCACTTTCAGGCTTCTGGCCTCAGGAACTATAAAAGCACGCACTTCTGTTGCTTTAAGCCACTAGGTTTAGTAATTTGCTACAGCAGCCCTAGGAAACTAATAACAATGGTGACCCATACACACCTTTTAAATATACTAAAAACCACTGACTTACATGCTTATTTACTTCTTGAGACAGGGTCTCTCTCTGTCACCCAGGCTGAAGTGCAGTGGTGCAATCACAGCTCACTGTAGCCTCAACCTCTCAGGCTCAAGTAATCCTCCCATCTCAGCCTCCCACGTAGCTGGGACTACAGGTGCATGCCACCACACCTGGATACTTTTTAAACTTTTTGTAGAGATGGGGGTCTCGCTATGTTGCCCAGGCTGGTCCCAAACTCCCAAGCCCCAGAGTTCTTTCCACCTTACCCTCCCAAAGTCCTGGGATTACAGGCATGAGCCACTGTATCCAGCCAACTTATACATTCTAAAGTGTACAAAGGATTAGCTTTACGGTATGTGAATAATAGCTCAATAAAGCTATTATTTAAAATAAACGTGCACACACACACACACACACACACACACACACATACACAGCTCACTTTACAACACATCAGGACAATAACTCCATGGACTGATATATAATGATAAACTACAGTCCTTTCTTTTGTATACTAAGGTGATGCTACTGTCCCACAGCCATGACAACATATACTAGGTAGTTGCTCATCCTTCCTCAGCTGGGAAAAATTTTAGATCTATTTCCTTGCAACCTTTTGGGCTCACATTTACTAGGAGGATGGCTGGTCATTTCTAGTCTGCGGCTTTGCAGTTCTGGGCACATATTTGGGACCCATTTTTTTCTGATTTCTGGATCAATGTCAACAGATAGAGCCTTGACTAAAAGATGAACTAGATAACTGGAAAAGGTAATTTTTAGGCCATCAAGAAAAACGAGATTGCACAAAGAACATTCATTGGCTCAGGAGCTTTAGAGTGAGGACATTGGGTTAATCCCCTCCCCAAGTTCAGCAGTAACAGCCACGAAAGCCTAGCATTGCTGAGCAAGCCAGACTGATCCTCACGAAGCTCTCCGAGAAGGACCGAGTGTCCTTCCCATCTTACAGCGTAGAGATGGGAGTACATGTTGCCCCTGGAATCTACTGGCCTTTCCTAGGGAGCAATCACCAGCAAAAAGTGGCCTGCGTATAGCACTTCAGGGATTTTTTTGGTAGATGAAAGCATTAGAAACTGTCCCCTGGCAATATGGGAATTGGCATAGATGACTCTTGGGGGAGGTCACTTAGACCTACTTCAGGTGCCTGGGATCCTAGGTAACCTCAATTCTCCAAGTCTTGAAATGTGTGTGCCACCAAGATGGACCTAGGAAATGCTGTCCCTGCCCCCCTGGACCTTACCTCCACACATCACTGCCTTTGGAAAACATGGAGGCCCGGATGACTTCGGGTGCCATCCAAGCATACGTCCCTGCCGCACTCATCTTGGTGGTTCGGTGCCATTCCCGAGCCAGGCCAAAATCAGTGATCTTCAGAATCTTGTTGCTCAGGTCTCCATTCTCCACCTTCTGGAGGATCAATACTAGGCAAGGAAAAGAATACAGAAGAAACCAGAGTCTGCATTAATCACAGGGAAACCACAGAACAGAACTCTTCTGCCATCCTCCTGGCCTCTCCTGTGGGCTCCAGCATTTAGCTGCCATGGATTGATGGTCAGAGCCATCATTTCTTAAACACCTACAGTGCATCCATTTTTGTACCACCCATTTTATAGCCACTATCTCTAATCCTCACAACAACTTACAAGGCAGGTACTATTGCCATCTCAGTTTTACTGATGAAGAAACTAAAATACACATGTCACAATTAAATAAATTCCTGGCTGGGCACAGTGGTTCACGCATGTAATCCCAGCATTTGGGGAGGCCGAGACGGGTGGATCACCTGAGATTAGGAGTTTGACACCTGCCTGGCCAACATGGTGAAATCCCGTCTCTACTAAAAATACAAAAAATTAGCTAGGTGTGGTAGTGCACGCCAGTGACTCTCAATAATCATGTCCTCAAATACCGGTATCTACCAAGCACCCGTTGCTACTAATCATTAAAGCACCAAAGCTTGTGAAAGCCTTATTTTATTTTTTGTAGACCTTTTTTTTGGGCTGAAATCCACATAACATAAAATTAACCATTTCAAAGTGAACAATTTAGTGATATTGTGTACATTCACAATGTTGTACAACTACCACCTGTCTAGTTCCAAAACATTTTCACCACCCCAAAAGGAAACCCTGTACCCATTAAGCAATTATTCCCCATTCTCCCTCCTCCCAAACCTTAGCAATCACCAATGTCCTTTGTCTTTATAAATTTACCTAGTCTGAATACTTCATGTAAATACAATCATACAATATGTGACACACCTGCTTATTTCACTGAACATGTTTTCAAGTTCATCCACATTATAGCTTATATCAGTACTTCATTCCTCTTTATGGGTGAATAATATTCCACTGTATGTACATATTACAGTTTATCCTTTTGTCCACTGATAGACACATGGGTTGTTTCCACTTTCTGGCTACTGTGACTAGTGTGTATGAACATGTGTATACATATATTTGTATACTTGTTGTCATTTGGGGGGTACAGATCTAGGAGCATATTTGCTGGATCGCATGGTAATTCGTGTTTATCTTTTGAAGGAACCACCAAATTGTTCTGCACAGCAGAAGAACCATTTTACATTTCCACAAGCAGACTATGGGGGTTTCAATTTCTCCACATCCTCACGAATACTTGTTATTTTCCTTATTATTGGTATTCTTAATGCCATCCTAGTGCATGTGATATGGTAACTCATTGTGGTTTGGGTTTGCATTTCCCTGATGACTAATGATATTGAACATCTATCTTCTCATGAGTTTGTTGTCCATTTGTGTATCTTCTTTGGAGAAATGTCCACTCAATCCTTTGCCCATTTTTAAAGTAAGTGGTTTGTCTTTTTATTATTGAGTTATAAGAGCTCTTCATATATTCTGATACTAGACCCTTATCAGATACATGACTTGCAAATATTTCTCCCATTCTACTGGCTGTCTTCTCCCTTACTTGATACTTTTGATACACCAAAGTTTTTAATTTAGATGAAGTCCACTTTATTTTTTTATTTATTGCACATACTTTTGGTATAATATCTAAGAATCATTAACACATTCAAGATCATGAAGATTTAATTCTATGTTTTCTTCCAAAAGTTTTATGGTTTCAGCTCTTACATTTAGGTCATTGATCCACTTTTAATTTCTGCATATAACAGGGGTCGAATTTCATTCTTTTGCATGTGGCTATGCAGTTGTCGCAGCCCCATTTGTTTAAAGAGGAAAGCTTTAAAACACAAACAGAGGGGAGAGCTGTTATCTCCCAACATGCTTTCCTGAGTGGAAGAGAAAGGTTATATTCACAGCAGTTTACATATTTGTACCACTGCAGTAAGCCCACTGTAAACTTCTACCACTGACAAACAGCTGTGGCAATAACAAACTGTCATGCTTTCACATCTTGAAAAATGTAAGAATGTTTTATCAAATTTTGGTGAAGTCCATAAGAGTGCATTGTGTAAACCTCACCTCTCCTGTCGAGCAATGGCAAAAACAGTCATGCACCGCATAATGACGTTTCAGTCAATGACAGGCCAAAACCATGATGGTGGTACCATAAGGTAATAATAGGGCTAAAAACTTCCTATCACCTAGTGATGATGGCAGCTGTCATAATGTCATGGCACCATGTATTCTCATGTGTCTGTGGTGATGCTGCTGTAAACAAACCTACTGTGCAGGCAGTCGTATAACAGCATAGCATATACAATTATGTACCATACATAATACCTGATAATGCTAATAAGCGACTATGTTACTGGTTTATGTATTTACTTTTTTTTTTTTTGGACCCAAGGTCTCACTCTGTCATTCAGGCTGGTGTGCAGTGGTGCAATCATAGCTTATTGCAGCCTCAATCTCCTGGGCTCAAGTGATTCTCCCACCTCAGCCTCCTGAGTAGCTGTGACTATAGGTATGTGCCACCACACCCAACTAATTATTTTAGTTTTTGTAGAGAAGTGGGTCTCACTTCATTGTCCAGGCTGGTCTCAAGCTCCTCGGTTCAAGCGATCCTCCCACCTCAGCCTCCCAAAGTGTTGGGATTACTGGTGGGAGCCACTGTGCCTGGCCAGCATACTATACTTTTTAATCATTATTTTAGAGTGCACTCCTTCTACTTATGTAAAAAAAAGTTAACTGTCAGGCCGGGCGCGGTGGCTCACGCCTGTAATCCCAGCACTTTGGGAGGCCGAGGCGGGTGGATCATGAGGTCAGGAGATCGAGACCATCCTGGCTAACAAGGTGAAACCCCGTCTCTACTAAAAATACAAAAAAATTAGCTGGGCGCGGTGGCGGGCGCTTGTAGACCCAGCTACTCGGGAGGCTGAGGCAGGAGAATGGCGTGAACCCGGGAAGCGGAGCTTGCAGTGAGCCGAGATTGCGCCACTGCAGTCCGCAGTCCGGCCTGGGCGACAGAGCGAGACTCCGTCTCAAAAAAAAAAAAAAAAAGTTAACTGTAAAACGGCATCAGGCAGGTTCTTCAGGAAGTATTCCAGAAGAAGGCATTGTTATTATAGGAGATTAACAGCTCCAGGTGTGTTTTGCCCCTTCCAGAGGAACAAGATGTAGAGGTGGAAGACTGTGATATGATCTTGACCCTGTGTAGACCAAAGCTAAAATGTGTTTGTGTCTTAGTTTTTAACAAAAAAGTTTAAAATGTAAAAACAACAACAACAAAAAATGTATGTTAAAAAAAATAATGTAGGCTGATGTTTCTTCTGGAACCTATGCCATGTCCCCTTTAGGAACCAAGCACAGGACCAGGCTCTTTAAAAAAAAAAAAATGTAGGCTGAGGGTGGTGGCTCATGCCTGTAATCCCAGCACTTTGGGAGGTCAAGGTGGGAGGATCGTTTGAGCCCAGGAGCTGGAGACCAGCCTGGAAAACATAGTGAAACCTTGTCTCTACAAAGAAATTGAAAAATTAGCCAGGTGTGGTGGTGCATGCCTGTAGTCCCAGCTACTCAGGAGGCTGAGGTAGGAGGATCACTTGAGCCTGGGAAGTCAAAGCTGCAGTGAGCTGTGATTGTACCACTGTACTTCAGTTTGGGTGGCAGAGTGAGTGAGACCTCTCTCTCAAAAACAAACAAACAACAAAAAAAAAGTAAATAGAAAAAAGCTCATAGAATAAGGATAAAAGAAAGAAAATGTTTTTGTAAAGCTGTACAGTGTGTTTATGTTAAGCTCCATTGTTACAAAAGAGTTAAGAAGTAAACAGTTTTTGTTTATAAAGTTAAAAAGTTACAGTAAGCTAAGATTAATTTATTATTGAAGAAAGAAAATTTTTCAGCTGGGCGCCATGGCTCAGGCCTGCAATCCCAGCACTTTGTGAGGCCGAGGCAGGAGGATCACTTGAAGTCAGCAGTTCAAGACCAGCCTGGCCAACATAGCAAAAACCCATCTCTACTAAAAATACATAAAATTAGCTGGGTGTGGTGGTCCGTGCCTGTACTCCCAGCTACTCAGGAGGCTGAGGCAGAAGAATTGCTTGAACTTGGGAAGCAGAGGTTGCAGTGAGCCACGATTGCACCACTGCACTCCAGCCTGGGTGACAGAGTGAGACTCCGTCTAAAAAAAAGTTTTCTTTATAAATTTAGTGTAGCCTAAGTGTACAGTGTTTATAAGGTCTATGGTGGTATACAGTAATGTCCTAGGTCTTCACATTCACTCACCACTCACTCACCCAGGGCAACTTCCAGTCCTGTAAGCTCCATTTCATGGTGAGTGTTCTGTAAAGAAGTACCATTTTTTATTTTTATATCATATTTTTACTGTACCTTTTCTACGTATAGATACATTTAGGTACACAAAGTCTTAGCACTGCATTACAATTGTCTACAATATTCAGTACAGTAACATGTACACGTTTGTAGCCTGGAAACAGCAGACTACACCAGGGGTGTCCAATCTTTCGGCTTCCCTGGGCCATATTGGAAGAAATGTCTTGGGCCACACATAAAATACACCAACAACAGCTAAAAAAAAAAAAAAACAAAAAAAAACAAAAAAAAAAAAACAAAGGAAAAAGTGTCCTGAGCCATAGCGGGACAAGCTTGGGCTACACCATATAGCCCAGGTGTGTAGTATAAGTACACTCTGATGTTCGCACGATGATGAAATTGCCTAATGATGCATTTCTCAGAATGTATCCCTGCCATTAAGTGATGTGTGACTGTACCGAGAAGAACTAACGAGTCTAGGCGTAAGTCAATGGGGGCCTGGCCAGGCAGTGGAACAGAAAGGAAAAGATACATTGGAACTAAAGACCCAGTGATTAACCAGATGTAGGGGCCTGATGGAGAAGGAAGACATCTCCAGCCTTTCAGGTTTGGGTGACAAGCAGAAGAATGGTGGTGCCCCTAATTGGGAAGTTGAGAGAAAAAGCCCATTTGAAGAAGCCAAGTTTAGTTTTGGACATAATGGGTCTAGGTTCACTGTAACAAGAGTCAGTATGGAACAGGAAAAGAGCAGATAATTTAAATCCTAGGCTTGACACTCTTAATGTGACCCTGGACAAATCTCTTAAACTTTGTACCTCAATTCCTGCTTCTACAAAATGGGGATAAAGATTAAAGGCGATACAGCAATAAAGCAACTAGCAGAGTACCTGGCACTTGGAGCACTATAGTTATTATTATAATTAGGTATCCTGTACATAAATGGAAACCATAGGGTTCAGCGCTCAAGGGACTGATATGGAAGGCCTGGCAGTCCCTGACACACAATAACCACGCAATACATTTTTGCTGTATAGATAAATGGAATGCTTGATTAATAATGACACCTACTCATTATGGGTCACTTACTACGTAGCAGCACGATGCTGTTTATGTCCATCACTTTTGTTAATCCTTAAATCACCCCTCAGCAGTAGGTGTAATTATTTTCCCCATTTTATGCACTCCAAACCAGACACAGAAAGGTTAAGTCAGTTGCCCAGTCAGTGAGGGATGGGGAAGGGAATCAAATCCAGATCTGTCTGACTTCAGAACCACATTCTTCACCTTTGTGCCATGCCGTACAGAGGCCAGAAAGAAATCCTATGTGTCTTTAAGCCCTGCCTCCATTTCTGCCTAATCCCTAAAGCTGTAATTGATTAGTCTACCCTGCACTTCTTTTTCCTGAATTCTTCCTTCAGCATCCAAATACCACATAATCTAACACTATATGCACTTCTAATCACTCCTGACTGCTGCATATATATGGGTGTCATCATTTCCGCTAGCATGTGATACAGTATGACTCCTAGAAAGCAAAAACCTCATTCTTTTTCTTCTGGAACCTATGCCATGTCCCCTTTAGGAACCAAGCACAGGACCAGGCTCTTTGAAAGAACTCATCCCGGCTGGGTGCGGTGGCTCATGCCTATAATCTCAGCACTTTAGGAGGCTGAGGTGGGCGGGTCACCTGAGGTCAGCAGTTCAAGACGAGACTGGCCAACATAGCAAAACCCTGTCTCTACTAAAAATACAAAAATTAGCTGGGCATGGTGGCACACACTTGTAGTCCCAGCTACTTGGAAGGCTGAGGCAGGAGAATTTCTTGAACCCATGAGGCGGAGGTTGAAGTGAGCCGAGACTGCGCCACTGCACTCCAGCCTGGGCAACAGAGTGACACTCAGTCTCAAAAAAAAAAAAAAAAAAAAAAAAGAACTCATCTCTTGCTGGTCACATACTTGACCAATGGGATATCTGTGCATCTTCTCAAACTATCCACTTTCCCATCTTATTGTTGCCAGGTATTGGGGTAGGGGGTGGAGGGGCACTGGGAGGAGACTAGAGAAAGAGTAATACCTCAGCCAGGGGTTCACCAGTGACTAACACACCCAGTTAGTGCCAGGTCGGGTAGGGGACACACAGAGAAAGATAACCTGAAGACTCTCAGCTTATCTCAACGGCCTTTCGCCTTCTATAAGGAAAGACAATGTGACAAAAGTGAGTATCAGGTCAAGACAGGGTCTCACTCTGTTGCCCAGAATGGAGTGCAGTGGCACAATCATAGCTCACTGTAACCTTGAACTACTGGGCTCAAGCGTTTCTCCACCTCAGCATTCCGAGTAGCTAGGACTACAGGTGCGCACCACCAACCCCAGCTAATTTTTTATTTTTTGTATTGACCGGTTGGTCTTGAACGCCTGGTCTCAAGCAATCCTCCTGCCTTGGCTTCCCAAACACTGGAATTACAGAAGTGAGCCACTGTGCCTGGCACAAAGACATCATTCTTGATTATTTCCCAATTAGGACACCACCTATATATACCACTTAATATTATTATTTAAATAATATTTAATGGGCATCAAAAAATAGAAAGAATAAGACCTAGTATTTGATAGCACAACAGGGTGACTATAGTCAAAATAATTTAATTGTACATTTAAAAATAACTAAAGTATAATTGAGCTGCTTGTAACACAAAGGATAAACGCTTGAGGGGATGGATATCCCATTTTCCATGATGTGATTATTATGCATCATATGCCTGTATCACAATATCTCATGTACCCCAAAAATATATACACCTATTATGTACCCACAAAAATTAAAAATTAAAAAAAAATTTAAAGAAGAAATTCTATATCACTATTGTAAATGGGAAAGCCAAAAATTCTCCTAACATTGAGTAACCTGTACAAACAAATAAAATGAAACAAAAATAAATGGTACAGTGGCAGACCCGCATATGGTCAAAATGCTGAGCCTAAGGCCTGCCTTCTCTGCTTGAGAAGAAAGATTTGAAGTGTTAGAGAGGAATTACAGACAAACAGCACCAAAATGAATGTTGATCCTCCATTTACACAAAAAAGCTGAATGACTTTCTTTGGGATTCAATGTTGCTTAATGCAGACCACTTAAAATGGTCTCAAGGCCATCCCATTAGGAGGTCAGCAGGAGAAATCGGGGGTGTCTTGCCACTAAGGGATTTGTGAATCTGACCTAATATCATTTAGCTGAGGCCAGGCTCTCAAAACTTGGCATCACTGAGGAGACTCTCCCATTAGGTCCTAATGGTAAACTTAGCTTTGGTTGATGATCTATGTCATTTTCAGATTTCTTATTTATTATTCATCTCCATTAGTACAAGAGGCTTCAATTTGCTAAATGCTCACCTTGGTGCCAAGGCTCATGTCCTCAGGCCTGCATTTGGTTCAGATGATTCAATGCCATCTCTCCTACATTACGTAACTCAGCTAATTTGGTTTTGAGGGTTATGTTTTGTTTTATTTTTTAAAGTTTATTGTTAAACGTATTATACACATAGGAGAGTACATTAAAATGTATACATGTAACATGTACAAATGTATATATGGCTGGGAGTGGTGGAGCACACCCGTAGTCCCAGCTACTTGGGAGGCTGAGGCAGGAGAATGGCTTGAGCCCAGGAATTCAAGGCTATAGCACCACCATGTTTGTGCCTGTGAACAGCCACTGCACTCCAATCTGGGCAACACAGTGAAACTCCATTTCTAAAATTTAAAAATGTATATATGGTTTAAAGAACATAATATGAAAACCCACATAATCCCATCCGGTCCCTTTAGAAGTTCCATGTGTCTCTCTCCACCACCCCCTTTCCTCTCTCCCTAAACATCTGACAACCGTGACTTCTGTTATTCATTTCTTTACTTCTCTTTATGATTTTACCAGCTATGTACACATCTCTAAATAAGATAATGTTTAGTTTTGAAAAAGTGAGTGGCAAACAAAAAATGAAGCTGTGTGTTGTAGCCTCCTAGGGCTGCCATAACAAATTAACAGAAACTGGGTGGCTCAAAACAATAGAAATTATTCTCTCACAGTTCTGGAGGTTAGAAGTCCAAAATCAAGGTGTCGGCAGGGCCATCTCCCTTCAAAGGTTCCAGGGAAGGATCCTTCTTTGACCCTTCTAGCTTCTAGCAGTTGCCAGTAGTTTTTAGTGTCCCTTGGCTCGTAGCAGCGTTAAGTCTAATCTCTGCCTCCATCTTCACATGGCCATCTTCCCTTTGTGTATCTGTCTGCATCTTCACCTAACATTCTCCTATTTGTCTATGTGTCCTTATAAGGACATCGGTCATTGGATTAGGGCCCATCCTAATCCAGTATGACCTCATCTTAACTTGACTACATCTGCAAAGATGGTATTTCCAAATTTCACAGGTTAGGACTTCAACTTATTGTTTGTGTGGAGGGTTGTGGGGGACACTATTCTACCCACAACACCATGGAGGAGTAAAAATACTGCCTTTGCTAAATGAAGCCTTCCCAAAGGGAATAAGCTAAACAGAGTCTCTGGGAAATTCCCATGGAATTTACAAGAGCCCTTCCTGGGAAAGTTGATAGGCAAGATCATGAACAAGTCCTGGAAACACAGGGCAGGTAACCACAGTGGGAACACCTGGTGGTAGGGGTCAAGGTAATTGCGAGAGTGGGACTCTTCTGTATTTTCTGTTTCTTTTGTTTGTTTGTTTTTGAGTCTCAATCTGTCACCCAGACTGGAGTGCAATGGCATAATCTTGGCTCACTGCAACCTCCACTTCCTGGGTTCAAGCGATTCTCCTGCCTCGGCCTCCCATGTAGCTGGGATTACAGGCACACACCAGGACGCCCAGATACTTTTTTTTTTATTTTTAGTAGAGACGGGGTTTTACCATGTTGGCCAGGCTGGTCTCGAACTCCTGACATCAAGTGATCCGCCTGCCTCGGCCTCCCAAAGTGCTGGGATTACAGGAGTGAGCCACCGTGCCTGGCTCATATTTTCTGTTTCTAAATTCACATGGACCTACCTTTAGCATCGAGGGTTGGGCAAAGAAAACACTTCTGTTAATATAAAATGCGTCTATCCATCAGCAGGGCAAGGAGGGGCGACAGAAGCTTCATCAGCACATGAGCAAGACAGCCAAGAGCAGATACAATCTGCCCCAGGCTTCCCCAGGTAGTCAGTCCTCCAGTTAAATCAATGGCACAATGATTGCAGGTAAGTTGGTGATGACATTCTGAGTCACGCTGCTCAGATCTAAGCTGCCCATCCTCTACGTCTGGTACACAGTCCTAAGGGGTTCCCTTCGTCTCCCTCCTGTGTTAATCCCTGTGTCCTGTACCCCACTCCCCTCTTTACTGATTCCTTCCCCTGCTTCGGTGGTGTGTACTCTCCAGTAGTTCCTTAGAAAGGACGCGTAGGAGGTATGTTTTGTTTTATTTATTTTTTTCTGTGCTTGCTGTCTCCAGTCCAGTAACTCTTGTTTTACCCTTTCCAAGAAGAAAAGGCAGTCAAGTGGCTGCATAAAGTAGAGGAGATTCTGTGATATAAAGGGATTGCTTTTTTTTTTTGCTTTCCCTACTGTCAACTTAATTATCTTTCTCAAATGTTCTAAGTCAGTTACCACTTCTCCATCAGTTTTCCAGTCTCCAAAACATAACAGCTATCGTCTCTTCTCCCATGCACCTTGTAGGTTTGCTGTGGCTTTCACTGGGTTTCAGGAGGGAGTAAAGGTAGCTGTAGCATTTCACATGTTCAATCTGCTACCCTAGCATAGAACTGTGCCTTCAGTTTTGTTTTC
Organism: Homo sapiens; assembly: GCF_000001405.40. Taxonomy (NCBI): domain Eukaryota; kingdom Metazoa; phylum Chordata; class Mammalia; order Primates; family Hominidae; genus Homo; species Homo sapiens. Next base: position 70,771,292 of record NC_000014.9, read on the forward strand.
TTGGGGTAGGGAGAAGGAAACTAGCATATCCTACAAAGGAAACTTTTCAAAGGCTTCCGGCTTTCCATCACTTGGTTCTTCCATCTCTCCTGATATGCAAAATCCATCCTGGGAGGGTGTAATAGAGGAAGGCATATACGTACTCCTGCTTGTTCCTGCCAAAGCCCAGGGCTTAAACTCCAGATCTATGTCACAGCATCCTGTCTCACCTTAATAAAAACAGTCTCTGAGCTACACCAAGGCAGAAAGAAAAAAGCAACAGATGGAGACCCAGGGTGTCTGGGTTCTCGCTCCACCACTGTGTGACCTTCACCAGGCCCCCATTTCCCTACCTCTGACATTCCTGGAGTCTGTAACTCCCTGGAAACTGTGTCAGTCCTTCCCAGGAGCCAGCCAAGCCCCACCATCCATCTGAGCTGAAGAACAGCTAAACATAGGGGGAAAAGGAGTTAGGTGAAGTGATTCTACCCCAGAGAAAAGCCCTATTCATTAGACACAGCCAGCCTTTAGGGCTCCTGAGTGGCACGTGAGATATTTGCTTCCTACAGCACGTTGCCTCCAGTGGAGGAAGGAAGATGATCTCAGACCCAACACATAGCAGGCTCCCTGTTGTGCTGACGCAGCAAGAGCTGCATGAGAGAGCCTGACTCGTGGACCACTACCAGGGAGCCAGAGTGCGGCCGCTGTGCATCCCCCAGCTTCTCCTGGCCCGTGGGGCTCTGCCCGCTCTGTCTCTCCAGGCAAGGCCAAGAGAGGCCAGACTTGCTTACCAAGGCAAATGATTCACCACCTAGACTCCCCGACTCGACCTCAGCAGAGCTGCGGTGCTGCCTAGAGATGGAAGGGAGACGCCAGCAGCAACGGTGGCCCCAGCAGCTTCCGCATTGTCAGCAGAGCTGCACCGGGTTCCACTGGCACAACCAGCAAAGCTATGCTTCCCAACAAGGACTCAGGCACAGCAGCCAAGAGTCCCTGCCACAGTAACTACAGAAAGGTGGAGAGAATTGGCTCCTTGGGGACTTAGGAGTCACTCCCTTTTGGTATAAAAGAGGAAACCAAAGCAAATGAATGGGTACAAAACACCCCTCATAGAGAGAGAGAGAGAGCATTCAATACAGTGACCTTTTCCTGAGCTAGAGTAAAGCTGAACTACAGTGGTCTCCCTTTCTATGCCTATAACCTGAAGAGGAATAATAAGCGCTCAATAAACATTCATCTGGAATTAACAAATGAATGCAAATCATCCCAAAAGGTGTCTGCTTAAATCAGTTTAGGTACTGGTCCCCAGCTACCTGTTCCAGGGCTGGCCATATTGGAGTCCCCTGAGAAGCTACAGTAATGATTTCCAACCTTTCAAAATATGTCCTTTCAGCTGAAAAAAAAAGCCATTATGATGCTATTTGTACTTTTAGTGTGTGTTGATTAAGAAGAAAATAATAACCACAACTAATGTTTATGGAGTCCTTCCAACATACCAGGTGCTAAGCTAAGTGATTTACACCTATAATCTTATTTAATCCTCTCATCAATACGGAAAGTAGGTACTATAACTATGCCCACTTTCAGATATGGAGACTGAAATTCAGGCAGGCTGGTCTACAAGTGGGAAGAGACGAAGCCAGGACATTTCATTCAGCCCAGGCCTGAATGAAATCAGTCAGGACCCCAGACCACCATGCCATATTAAACACTAAGAAAATACTAAACACCCTAAGAAAATGCTTCTAAGTGAATTCATATTTTCTCAACAAAACAGCACCCATGCACATTTGAAAAACAGAAATATTTACACTTTATACAAACACTGTCAAAGATACCTTTCAGTAACCCTCTCCCCAAGGGAACCACTGATCTCAATGCTGCAACTATAAGCACGTTATGCAGAAAGCAGTAGGTCATTGCCCCCAAGGAAGGAATTACCTGTCTGCTTCCATCGCACATCCAAGCAAGTGTCTCAAGGCCTCCAACTCTGAAGGGGTGAATGGGAGAGAAATCTCCAAGTAAGGGTTAAAGCAGAAGGACAGAGTCAGCAGCAGAAAGAGAAAACAAATTGAAAACACAGCAGAAAGGGATTGCTACATTAGCAATCCTGGCAGCATATCAGGGAAGGACTAACAAGGGATTAATGATAGGAAAAGAGCCTGAAATCTGTGACCCAGACTGCTAGTCGCCCTTCAGTGGTTATTCTCCCCTCCTCCCATAGTAATGGAACCCACAATTGCAAGATGGGCACCAGGCCACTCAGAACATTTACTACATTTTCCAGCCTCCTTGTTCTGAGATGTAGCCAGGTAACTAAAAAGTGTCATTGTAGGTGCTTTCTGTAACCTGTCTTAAAAGATTCCAGCTCTAGGCCTTTGGACTTTGTTCTTCATCCCTTTATACACTGTGCTATCTGGAAAGTGAATGTGATAGCTGGAGGTCTAGCTACCATCTTGGACCATGAGGACATGATCATGCCCCAAGAGTTGGCAGAGCTGTGAACGAGAAGGAGGTAAGGCTCATGGAACAGAGATGTCTTGCCAATCACTGGCCATCTCATGCCAAACTTTTACATACAAGAGAGACACTTATTTCAGCTAGTGTTACTTTAAGTGTCTATTTCTCACAGCTAATCTAACTGAATTAATACAGAGTTCAATTCCTACAAAATATCTTGCTCATTACTACAGCAAAACAGACACAGACATATCAAAATTGCAAATCTAAACCAAAACCAAGATCCCAGTCAACAGAGTCTCAGTATGATACAATGAAAGATTTGGATAGCCTCTCCAAGCTGCCGTAAAGTTAATCAACCTGAAATCTATGTTCTATACTAAGTATTGATTTAAACCTTTCAAAAATAATATAATAACCCACATGTACTGAAAGCCTGTATGTATCAGGCACTGTGCTAAATAGGCAAGGGGTGTTCAAATACCGTGTAAATTAAACCAATATCTCCCCTCAAGATCACCAGCCAGGAGGAAGAGTCAGTGAGTGAGAAAGGATAAAGCAGGAGACCTTTGTTATTTATTACAAGGCTTGTAATATATTTCGGCTTTTTAAACTAGATTATGTACACATGACACTTCAAATATTTTATATCAGGCTGGGCGCGGTGGCTCACGCCTGTAATCTCAGCACTTTGGGAGGTCGAGGCGGGTGGATCACCTGAGGTGAGTTCGAGACCAGCCTGGCCAACATGGTGAAACCCCATCCCTACTAAAAATACAAAAATTAGCCAGGCGTGGTGGTGGGCGCCTGTAATCCCAGCTACTCGGGAAGCTGAGGCAGGAGAATCGCTTGAACCTGAGAGGCAGAGGTTGCCTCTGCAGTGAGCCAAGATCACGCCACTGTACTCTAGCCTGCGTGACAGAGAGAGACTCCATCTCAAAAACAAACAACAACAACAAAATGTATGTCAAAAAGGCCAGGCACGGTGGCTCACGCCTGTAATCCCAGCACTGTGGGAGGCCGAGGCAGGTGGATCATGAGGTCAAGAGATCAAGACCATCCTGGCTAACATGGTGAAACCCCATCTCTACTAAAAATATAAAAATTAGCTGGGCATGGTGGCACGCATCTGTAGTCCCAGCTACTTGGGAAGCTGGGGAAGAGAATCACTTGAATCTGGGAGGGAGAGGTTGCAGTAAGCCAAGATCGTGCCACTGCACTCCAGCCTGGAGACAGAGTGAGACTCTGTCCCCAAAAAAAAAAAAAAAAAAAAAAAAAAAAAAAAGATATAATAGGCAGCTTAATACATGTAACTATATTATAATAAAACATTAGTATATAAGATGATAAGCGAAACGTTTTTCTTCACTTTCATCATTGTCGAAATCCAAAATCATCTAGGATAAACATGTGTTTTTGTTACTTTCATAAATTATTTAATAATAATAGCAGCTACTATTTTTTTGCATACCTACTATGTCCCAGGTGCAATACTAGACACTTCACATCCACATTACCTCATGCAGTTTTCATGGCTATCCTGCAAGTTGGGTAGCATCCTCATTTTATAGTTGAGGAAGCTGGGACTCAAAGGGCAAGTAACTTTTCCACATCTAGGAAGCGAAAGAGTCAAGATTTGAATCTTGCTCTGGCTTCTAGGCCTATGCTCCTTTCACTATACCCTGCTGCCCCCTCCATTTGGGGGTCAAATGTTGAGAAGATACATCTCTACAATACCAGTCTCTCATAGGCCACAGTGTATGACCCACAACTTACTTTTATTTGCCTGGGGACAGTCTCATATTATAAATCCACTGGGCATAACCTTGCTGAATCCTACATCCGGAATGGACCAATGCCCATAACACTACTGAACACAGAGCCCAGCACTAGAAGTGGGTCTCTACATGGCACTATCAAGCTAATGGCTACTTCTCACTGGCAGGGACAAGGAGAGAAACCTGTGTTTAGAACAGAAGAGAACTGGAAGAGAAGCCACCAAAGCTATCAGTCAAACCTAATTCTACCTCTAAGTCCACTGCCCTTTCCACTAGAACCCAGGAGGTCCTGGACTAAAACCAAACCACCTGAGTCTTATTTCATATCCTTCTAGGGAAGGGAACTAGGCTTTTATATTTAAATGAGAGTGCTTAAGAAGTTAAGACTAAATATTTGGGGCCGGGTGTGGTGGCTCAAGCCTGTAATCCGAGCACTTTGGGAGGCCGAGGCGGGTGGATCACCTGAGGTCAGGAGTTGGAGACCAGCCTGACCAAAATGGTGAAACCCTATCTCTACTAAAAATACAAAAATTAGCTGAGCATGATGGCGGGCGCCTGTAATCCCAGCTTCTCGGGAGGCTGAGGCAGGAGAATCGCTTGAACCCGGGAGGTGGAGGTTGCAGTGAGCCAAGATCGCGCCATTACACTCCAGCCTGGGCGACAGAGCGAGACTCCGTCTCAAAATAAATAAATAAATAAAATAAATATTTGGGAAGCTCACAGACACTCAGGATCAAACTCTAATAGCTTGGCAAGGTGTGGTGGCAAAAGCTTACCGGCAGGCAGCATCTCCCCAGGCATAATTTAGGACAAATATGTGCTAAAAGCACCATGGCTGAGACAGTAGCTTGTGGCTTGCGGGGAGGGTGTTGATGGGCAGGAGAAGAAACCCTCCTACACTAGGTCTGAAACCATTTCAGAAGTTTTGAGTTTTGCTTTGAGTAGTACAGGCTGGACCCTGCAAATTCAATACCATGCCTCATCCTCTACATGGTATATCCAGATAAACTATGAGGAAGGTCAGTGGGAGAGCTAGGAACCAAAAACTTAAATGTTCACAAGTGTGAGAAAAAAACTAATAAAGCAAAGGAATCCCTACGATCTTAAAGCTCTGCTCTCTCCGTTAGAGATTCACCCTCAAAATAGGTATATATTTGGCGCTAGCAGTAGCAGGTAGGTCCCATATAGCTGTTCACTCGGGCCCCAAATAAAGCATTCTCAACCTAGAACCTCCACTTTGATTTAAAAAAAAATCCTCTCCCATCAGCCCTTAAGACACTAGGCTATAAAAACTATGAAACACCCTGAACTAAAAGATCTCTCACTTTTTTTTTTTTTTTTGAGAGAAGTCTCGCTCTTGTCCCCCAGGTTTGAGTGCAATGGCTTGATGTCAGCTCATTGCAACCTCTGCCTCCCAGGTTCAAATTATTCTCCTGCCCCTGCCTCCCAAGTAGCTGGGATTAAGGCGCCTGCCACCACACCCGGCTAATTTTTCTATTTTCAGCAGAGACAGGGTTTCACCTTGTTGGCCAGGCTGGTCTCGAACTCCTTACCTCAGGTGATCTGCCTACCTCGGCCTCCCAAAGTGCTGGGATTACAGGCGTGAGCCACCACACCCGGCCAAAGATCTCTCACTTTCTACCCATCTCTAGGGCGCTGTTGCTTCGACCAATGCCCACCTCAAAGGGGTAGTCATTTCTCAGGGGAATCTCCAGTTCCTGCCCCCATCCATATCAAATCACCATCCACTTATCTTTTTTCTTTTCTAAAATGTGTGCCCTATCCAATGACTCATCCCCAGAGCAGCAGAAAGCACTCTTAGACAGTGGTGAGAAAGGCTGAGGCTCATATATCAGAAAGGCAAAGAATAAGTGTCCACTCCAAAACCTCTGGACCCCAGCTCCACTGTTCACCAGCAACCATAGTCAGCCAAGGGAGAAGCATTACTCACTGCTCATTCATCCCAGGAAAGACCCTCCTGACATACTCAAAAGCAGAGGGAATGGTTATTTTACAGAAGGAGGGTCTCCTTGCTCCATCACATCCCAGGGTTCAGAAAGTCTTCCCTATCAAACCAGTCTGATGCTATTAAAAGTAGTCAGGGGATACTGGCTGGAGTCCCAAAGCATAAGGACCACTGGTCACCAGAGAGTCACAAGCCCTGGCAAGTCAACTCTTAAGACACTAGATCCTTGGCTGTGAAAAGATATATCAGGACCATGAGGCCCCACCCTGACTAATGCAGTGTCCACCTAGTTCTCTGCGAAGAGACACCAGCACCATGGGTGGAAAGGGCTAAAGCCTCTAAGACATAACCAACATCCAAGACCAGAATTATAATCAGGACAGAATCCAAGATTTCACTCCAAAAAATCAAGATTCCTCCCAGCCAACACGCATGCCTGAGAATCTACCTACTTTGGCAGAAACTGGTAAAAGATACCAACCACTGTGGTTACTAGAAAAGGTCGACAGTCACCTACACAGAAAAAAGGAAAGGAAAAGAGAGGGATAAATAGATGATCCTATAAAGGAAACTAGGACGGAACCTCTCTCTCTCCCTTTTGTTTTTTGTTGTTTGTTGTTGTTGTTATTGTTGTTGTTGTTGTTTTGAGACAAGGTATCACTCTGTCACCCAGGCTGGAGTGCAGTGGTATAATCTCAGCTCACTGCAACCTCTGCCCCCTGCTGCCTTGGGCTCAAGCAATCCTCCCACCTCAGCCTCCCAAGTAGCCTCAACCACAGGCACACATCACCACGCCCAGCTATTTTTTTTTTTTTTTTTTGAGACGGAGTCCCCCTTTGTCACCCAGGTTGGAGTGTCACGACGCGATCTCTGCTCACTGCAACTCCGTCTCTCAGGTTCAAGCAATTCTCATGCCTCAGCCTCCTGAGTAGCTGGGATTACAGGTATGTGCCACCACACCTGGCTAATTTTTGTGTTTTTAGCAGAGACGGGGTTTCGCCATGTTGGCCAGGCTGGTCTCAAACTCCTGACCTCAGGTGATCCACCGTCCTCGGCCTCCCAAAGTGCAGGGGTTACAGGCATGAGCCACTGCACCAGGCCAAACTTCTCTCATTCTGGCCATATAAGTCTACACCTATAACACTGTCATCATCATTGCTAGCATTTACTGAGCACTTACCACATGGCAGGCACCATGCTAAGCATTTTACGTGCAGTACTTATATAAAAACAGATGTACTGTTTTAATCTCTATTTACGGATATGTACTGTTTTAATCTCTACTTACAGATGAAGAAGCTGTGGCTGAGAAGTGAGGATATTCCCCTGAGCTACCCAGCCAGAAAGTGGTAAAGTGGGGACCACTGGCTACTCTCATGCTCTTGATGATGCCTTACCCTACCCCGTCCACCCATCTTGTTTGAACACCTAACATGGAGGATGCCTGAAACTAGAATGTACAGAGGAAGGGGCTCCTTAGAAGGGGCTCACAGAATAAACAACTGCTCTCTGTGCTGTAACGAGAGGACAGGGTTTGGTCCAGGGGGAGAATCAGAAGAAAGACCACTCCCAGCAGAGGGAATAACGTGAGTCCAGGTCCAAGAGGGCTGAGGGGCCTTGACATATCTAAGAAATAGTCCCTTGTAGCTGGAGCAGAACTTTCATGAGGTAGAAAGGGAGAAGAAGGAGCCGCAGTGAAGGGCTGGGGCAGGACTGGAAGACTACAGACCCTGCCAAGGAACTTGGAAATGACCCTGGAGTCACAAGTAGTTTTTAAGCAGAAAAGTGTTGTGACAAGATTTGAGTTTCAGCAAAACAACTATGGTTGCAGTGAGACAAATTAAACTGAAAAAGCAACAGACTGGCAGTGAGCCACAGTAAGTAACCTATTACAATTGTCCAGGGGACAATGGTGAATGACAAACTCAAGTACTGGGGATGGAAAGGATGGGACAGTCAGACAGAGTAATTAATTTCACATACACGGAGAAAGAGTGGTCCATGAGTCCTAGGAAATCTCTCTGACATCACATCACTTACTTGCTCTGGCTAAGTCCCTGTATGTCACCAATCTCACAGGAATATACTAGCATTTAGTGAGTTCAGCGGGGTTTAGTGGTCCCACTCCTCCTACCTCTAGGCTAACATTCACCCACCCACTCTTCCCTTCCAACAGGAACTGAAGCTTCTGCAGCCACAAACACCTAGAAACAGGGTTCCTTCATTTTCAGTTGTAGCTACCAACTCACATATTACTGACTGCTACTAACTAGACCAGATGCAATTCCACAGTTCTGGCATGCTGAGAACAGCCACTCCTTGCCAACGCGGCTCAGTCCTGCATTCATTTGGGACATCTCTGGCAAGCCCCCAGGTATCAGTGCAATGCACTTTGCAATGTCAGCCAAGGGCATGCAGCAAGGAACTCAGGGAATGGCACAACCTAAGAATGACGTCAGAGGAGACAGAACGGATAGATGAGCTTCCTGGGGCTGGCTAGTGTCTTGATCCTTCAGACAGGCACCCAGGCCTTATGCAAAGTTTTCAGACAGGCTGGTTAGTTAACAAGATTGGGATACTAGGGTGATAGTTTGAACCAGGCCACTCCCAAACAACTCTGGCTGGCCATAATGTGCATATGTGTTCTGGGGAACAAGGGAACAAATCAGATGTATTCATGTGGACCAGCACTGGAGAAACAACCCAAAGCACCAGGCTTCCTCATAATGTGCCCACATCCATGCCTGCCGCATGACTTAACAGCATGAGGTGTGGATTTCTGCTGCCTTGTTGGGCTGGAGGATAGAAGGAGACATGATAGGGAACTAATATATTTATAGGCCTCCTGTAGGCACAGCACAATTCATCAGCCTTGAAAAATGACTCCTTTAACCAGCCCCAACTTTCTATGGGAACTTCACTTTCATCTCTTTCTTGGAGGCCGTACCCACTTCCCACATCTCCCATGCTGCTGAGTGAAAGGTTCTCATGATTAAAACAGAAGAATAAGCACCATCTCCCTGACCAAACCTCCCACGTGTCTGCAGGACACCTAGCTCTCTCTAACATCCTAAAATATAACTGCTTCAAAAGGCGTCAACTTGGACACCTACAGCCCTTGCCATCTTGTGCAAATTAAGCCCAGAAAACACAGCTGGGACTCCATCCCTCACCTCATCCAGGCGCAGATATCACCAGCAGGAAACAGAAAGCCAGAGGCTTTTGTGCAGCCACTTTCCTTACTAAAGAACATCTCCTTAAACACCTGCCTCCCCTGAATTTTCTCATCGTATCAGCTCAAACTGACTGAGAAGAGCTGCCAGATCTCCGTCATACCTCTGAAGTACCCAGCTACATACCAGATAAAAATAACCAAAAAAGAGGAAGCCTATCAGATGCTCGATGGTTTTGTCAACAGAAAGCAGTTCTTTCTTGGCAGGTGGCCATGGGGTGCAGCCGCCGCACAGGCTCTCCAGGGCCTTGTATCCCCAAGCTCTGCTAGCAGAGTTCCCTTAGCAGGCATGGAAGGTTGCATTTTCAAAGTGGTCCATCATCTCCCATCCTCTGTGCTTTTCCCCAGTGTGATCTTGACACTTTTCCCACTGAGAGGTGGGTCTGTGTCCTCTCCACTTGAAGCTGAGTGGTCTTGAGACTCACTTTAACAGAATGCAGAAGAAATGACAATGCCCGACTTCTAAGCTAGATCAGAAAAGATGCTACAGCTTCCCCATGTTCACTGGAACACTTGGGTCTGCAGCCTTGAGCCACTATGTAAGGCCAAGAGCCCTAAGAGAGCCATGCTCATGGACAGACTGCACATGGGCACTCCCATCAGCAGTCCTGGCCTCCAGCTTCTCCCAGCTCAGGCACTGAGCCATGTGTGTGAACAACCTTCAGATGGTTCCTGCCTCCATCTGCAGCCTCCCCTAGCCTTCAAGTCTTCCCAGGTGAGGCCCCAGACATTGACAAGCCATCCCTAATGAGCTCTTTCCAAATTCCTGACCCAAGTCTCCATGAGCTTAATAAAATGTTCTTGTTTGGGGTCGTTTGTTCTGAAGAAATAGTAATGGAAACAGTAGGTGATACACTGTGAGTCTAGTCTCATATCTGCTGCTGCTCTTGAATTTTTTAAAAAGGAAAAACTACCTTTTACTGAGCATTTACTTTGTGCCAGGCATTATGCTAAGGGTTTACACACATAACTTCATTTAATCCTCATTATAATGCCATGAGTAAATACTAGAATTATCCCCATTTTACAGAGGAGGAAATGGGCTCAGGGTCGAGGACTTTGCCCAAAGCCAGGTCTGCCTGATTCAGAGCCCACAACTGTACCAGCCCACAACTGTACCAGCCCAGGTTCTCTGGCCACTTAGAAAGAGGAGCTGTTTCACATGGAAGACTCAACTTCTTGGGAGCATGGCTTTCCTAGTCAACATTCCAGGTCTGGGAATTGCCTAAAGAACCCAGGTGATGGGACATGGCATCAGTGAACACTTGGCTCTGTCTGAGCTGGGGCAGGCCGCCTTCCCTGGGAGGTCATAGCTATGGCCTACCTGCCCTATTACCAACTCTTGAATCCTACCCCTTCTTTGAGGCCTAATTGTTCCATCAAGGCCTCCCAGGGAATTCTGCCTTCTCCAGACCCCATCTCATGTATCTTGACACGCTGCCCCCTACTACATCACACTGTTCTGGTTGTTTAGGATGTGTTTACATAGCACAACTCCTAAGGATGGAAAGAATGCAGTGGAAGTGACCTCTATGTTATGTATATAATAAATTGACCGTATTTCTTACAGCATGTATGCAATAGCAGGCACGTCAATTTCTTATGAGGACATTTGGGTAATAAAATTACCCACATCGGTTGAGAATCATGATCTATACAAAAAGAAAACATTCCAGGCTCTGTGACCTGCACTTCACCCCAGGCATTGCAGAGGAGAAAGGATTTGAGGGCAGAGGAGGAAGCGGTACAAGCCACCACAGATACCACCTTCATCCCATCACCTTGCAGGCAAGGAAGTCCCAACCACAAAGGCTCGAAACACTGGGAGTTGCCATTGTGAACCACAAGTCCTTAATAGCCCTGGAAAGCTATGAAACACCAATTAAAGTTTCCTATGAATCACTTTTCAACCTCTCCATGTAAGAGCAGGGAGGAACCAACCTCAAGTACCTCCTCAGGCCAAGACTAGCTTTGCTCTGACTCACTGTCTTTCAGTCTATGATATGGATGCTTTTCTAATTCCTTCCTCCCACCTCCATGTCCATTGCATGGGGAAGATGAGACTTCCTAGCATCTTCCTAGTCTACCTCTGAATATTACTCTACAAATCCTGTTCCCCATGAGACAGAGTTGAGGATCTCACCATGGTAGGGAAAATTCAAAACTATACAAATTCTCTAGATGTTACACCTCAGTTTCCAGGTGAAAGCCAGTCCTTTCCTTCCTTCCCTGCTACCTGGAAGGTGGGCATAACAGGCATACCCAGAAACTGCTGGGAAAACGCTCAAATGCCGTGTTCTCTGCCTTCAGTGAATGCCCATGTAAGGAAAAGTCTTAGAATATCTTATTTTTCCTCAGTGGGGTCACTTTTACTCTTCCTGGAAGGTCATTATCCCAGTCTCTCCACCAATATACTACACATCAAATCAAGCATCAAAATGCTTGTAAGAAACCTAAAATTGGCCAGATTCATGGTCCATGCAACTAGAGTCAAGCATATAAAGCCACAGACTCACATGTTAGAAGCCCAGGACAGTACTGTGTCCAAACAACGGTAAGGTGGGAAGGAAGACGGCATCCTAAAGTAAATTCAAATTAGTCTGACTCTTATTTTTCTTGAGCATCCAAAGGTTTCATATGATCCACAGCAACGCTTCCTCAAATACCCCTTTTTAATTCCATCCACTGTCCTTATAGAAAGAAGCTCCCTCATTTCCTGCTCAAAATTCCTCCCAAAAGAGCTCCTGAAGGATTCACTCTTTGTCCCCTCCCCTTTCCTCCCATCACAAAGCTCTAAAGTTCCAGGAGCAGCAAAATCCAAATTCTCTTTGTGAGGTGGGCGAAGGAAATAGCCGGGAGGCTTCACTCATTGATAGTCCAGGTGTTATTCCACCAGCAATCAATCCAAATTGGAGCTTCAAGGAATGAACAGTGAAGTCAAATTTGTCTTTCATAGTATTCATCTAAAAGTGTTAAGTGGGCACCACAAAGCATGCTCAGCGCTCCTCCAGGAGGAATGGAACTGCTCTCTTGCTCACGCATGGTCCATTTGGCCATAAATTCAGCTGCAAAGAAACACCCCAGAAAGGCCCGCTCACCTCCCAGACTACACAGAGCTGAAAGACGTGGCATCTGAATAACCACACAGGGCTCTGCAATTAACAGACGTGTCCAAACCCTTTTTGAATGTTTATATTACTTTTCTGGTTAAAATTTTTTAAATTCCATAAACAATCATCTGTGAATGTATCTGAAATCTATATATACTTCTTTTGTTTAAACAAAAACAAACCACGGCCAGGCGCAGTGGCTCACGCCTGTAATCCCAGCACTTTGGGAGGCCGAGGCAGGCAGATAGCCTGAAGTCAGGAGTTCGAGACCAGCTTGACCAACATGGTGAAATTGCACCTCTACTAAAAATACAAAACTAGCTGGGCATGGTGGTGCATGCCTGTAATCCCAGCTACTTGAGAGGCTGAGGCAGGAGAATCGCTTGAACCCGGGAGGTGGAGGCTGCAGCAAGCTGAGATCGCGCCACTGCACTCCAGCCTGGGAAACAAGAGCAAAACTCCGTCTCAAAACAAAAAAAAATACTAAAATAAATAAAATAAAATAAAAAACAAAACCACAACACAAACACAAGTAAGTACAAGAGCCCAATAACATGGAAGCTTCTGCGATGGCCCAACTTCTGGACAGCTGTATGCAAGCACAATTTTGGTTCAGGACAAACACTAACAAGAAGCAAAGCTGAAGCCGGGCACAGTGGCTCATGCCTGTAATCCCACAACTTTGGGAGGCCGAGGTGGGCAGATCACTTGAGGACAGGAGTTCAAGACCAGCCTGGCCAATATGTTGAAACCCCATCTCTACTGAAAATACAAAAATTAGCCAGGTGTGGTGGCAGGCGTCAGTAATCCCAGCTACTCAGGAGGCTGATGCAGGAGAACTGCTCGAACCCGGGAAGTGGAGGCCACTGTACTCCAGCCTGGGAGACAGAGTGAGTGAGATGGAAGAAGAAGCAAACCTGAGGCTACAGAAGGATGGCTGAGGTTCAAATTGTGCTTTTGGAGGGGCCCTGGGGAAAAGAGAAATGAGAAACTAGCTCTCAGGTCTTGTGCATTTTAGGACCATCAGGTCTGGAGGTACCAGAGGTCCTGGGTTGGAGAAATAAAGGATCCCCTATCTGTAGTTCGAAATGTGGGGATGATCTACCCCACAAAGTCCCCAAGACCAGGTTTAATGTCCAGGTCTAGCCCTGTTGCACCCAGACTCTGGTGAGTCACAGGGTCCGTCCTGCAGAACAAGGTGCTAGAGAAGGATCTCCTATTGCAGTCTGTTTCCAACAAGCAGAGCAGAAAGAAAACCATGCAAGCACTCAAGAGCCTGGTATTTGAGTCCAGGCCCTATCATTCTCTAGCTATGTGTTCTTGGGCAGGGCATTGTTAAACCTCCCTGAGCCTCAGCTTCCTCTGTTATAAAATGGGGATACTACCACCTCTTCCTGGAGTACCTCAGGTAGATACTGTTTCAAATAAAATTCTAAAGGACCAAATACAAAGCATGATTACAGGAGTCCCTCCTTATCTTCAGGGGACACATTCCAGGATCCCCAGTGGATGCCCCAATCCATGGATAGAACCCTGTATATACTGTTTTTTCCTATACATTCATACCTATGATAAAGTTTAATTTATAAATTAGGCACAGTAAGAGATTAACACTAACAATAAAATAGAACAACTATACTATAAGAAAAGTTTTATTAATGTGGTTTCTCTCTCTCTCTGAAAAGATCTTGTTGTACTGTATTCGCCCTTCTTGTGACGTTATGAGATGAAAAAATGGGTACGTGATGAGATGAAGTGCGCGGTAGATGACATAGGCGAGGTGACACAGTGACACAGTGTTTGGTACTCCCAACCTTCTGATGTGTAGTCAGAGGATCGTCTGCTTTGGATGACCCGGGATCATTGAGTTGTGACAATGTCAATGGTTGGATGTCAGGACAGACCATGTGGATGACTAATGGGCAGGTAGTACACCCAGTGTGGACATGCTGGACAGGATGTGATTCACATCCCACACAAGAAGGGGTGGGAAGGCGTGAGACTTCATTGCGCTACTCAGAATGGTGTGCAATTTAAAACTTATGAATCGTTATTTCTAGAATGTTCCATGTAATATTTCTGGACCACAGTTGACTATGAGTAACTAAAAACAGGGAGAGTGAAATGGCAGATAAGAGGGGACTACCATACTCTTTCTACTACCTCTAGGACTATTTGGGGGATGAAGGAAATGAGGGCCATGTATTACTGTCACCATGAATAATAAGCCAAGGAGAGTATCAGATAATATCAGGTTACACTAATAATCTTAAGTCATCTGAAGCTTATGTGGGAAAATTTTACGTCCTTAGTTGATTTTCCATTGCCATCCATGGGATGTGATGTGGCATCTCCCCTTGTCACTAGCTGCTGTGCATTTGGGCAAAGCAAGCTATTTTATTATTAATTTAATCCAAATACTTAGTAAGGGTAGGTCTCCTAAGGCAGGGGAGAGGGGAAAACAACTCTCTATCACACAACTGTGCCAATAACAGGGAGATTATTAACAATCCACTCCAGGATTCCCATCTATCTCTCAGCGGGGATTCCTATCTCTAAGCACAGGGAGCCAGGAGTCTACTGCTTAAGAAATAAAAAATGTTTTTATTATTCTTTTCTTCCTAAAAATTGTACCACCTAGAAGAATACTGAACACTGTTATCCTTCTACATAACATACCAAAGACCGAGTTCATGTTAGTAACCAGGAAAAACACTGACTTCACCCCAAACTTTGACCTTGGGACCTTACAAGGAAATTGTCCCCCTGGTTCCTCGAATGGGGTACAGATCCTGTTTCCACTGTTGTCTGAAATACTTTGGTCCTAGCTGGAAAGCCTGGCAGAGTAACAGTGTTCCATTGTCGGGCTAAAAGAAGGAACACTATCATGAGCATCAGGATGACCTTAGGCAAGTCACTCAGCTTCTCTAGTTCACAACTGTAAGGTTCCAGTAAGCTCTAATCATATCTATAAGCAAAAAAGAAAGTCAAGAATGACCAGAATCCAAAATCTATCGCTATTTTCCCTACCCACAGTCCTTTTCTCCTTCCTCTTATTTATTGTTTTTATTTTTAGTTTTTTGGTTTTTCTTGGTACTCACTGATTAAGGCATCCTCCTTCCTCTTGGACCCTGAAGGTTAACAGAATGCAGAAACAAAAACAAATTTTAAGTGTCCAGATGGCATGTACACCGTGAATAAAACAGCAGGAGGAGATGAGGTATATAGATAAGAATAGGAAAGCCAAATATAAAGATGAAAACAGTTGTATCTGCACACTGGAATCTAGCATAACTATTTTTTTTTCCTTTTTCAATGATACTTTTTCCTGTTATATTGCCTCATAAGCCACATCAGCTTGCAGTCACAAGGATTTGCAGAGAAAGATCTTAACTATAAGATCAGTCACTGGCTGGGCGCAGTGGCTCACACCTGTAATCCTAGCACTTTGGGAGGCCAAGACGGGCGGATCACAAGGTCAGGAGTTTGAGACCAGCCTGGCCAACATAGTGAAACCCCGTCTCTACTAAAAATACAAAAAACTAGCTGGGTGTGGTGGCGGGCACCTGTAATCCTAGCTACTCGGGAGGCTGAGGCAGGAGAATCACTTGAACCTCAGAGGCAGAGGTTGCAGCAAGCCGAGATGGCACCACTGCACACCAGCTCGGGCAACAGTACAAGACTCTGTCTCAAAAAAAAAAAAAAAAAGATCGGTCATTGCCAGCATCCTGATGCCCACCTGCTGCAATGGGCCCCACTCCCAAACCTGCTCCAAGGGATGGATGGACAGTCAGTACCTTCACAGCTGGGCAATTCCAAAGACACACATTGGGCTTCTGACTTTACAAGCTACTCCAAGGAACACCTTCCTCTAGGGTCCCAAGCCCCTGAGAAGTTTATGAAATAGATATATAAAAGCAAAGGCTTGAAGAGAACAAACAAAGCTCATTCAGTAAAAGTGTTTTGAGTCCATCCAGAAAGGAACTAGGGACAAAAAAAAACACACAAACAAAACAAGATTTTTTGGTTGGCCACATTGGAATTGCCACCAAACACCTGGGCTGCTACATGCGAAGTCCTATACTAGGGATGATGTGAGGGGAGACAGAGATGGGGGGAGCAAGGGAAGACGAAGGGATGAAAAACAGCAACACCTCTGCTGTCCAGAATTCTATTGGGATTTCTATGTTTTCATAGAAAAAAAGTTATCAGAGACAAAAAGATACTTAATCGCATTTGCCTCTAAGAAGTAAACTTAGGGTTTGGGAGGGAAGGACAGAGACTTTTCTTTTTTCTCTCTCTTTTTCTGGAGACAGACTTTTCTTTGTATTTCAATTTTGTCCTATTTTTACCCATGTGTATCCACTACATTTTGAATTTTTTAAATTCTACAGTACAACTGGAAAGAATATGACTAAAACAATGAAAATGCAAGTACAAGACAAAAGATACCACCCAAAAATATAATCACCAATTGTGATCTAAATACTAAGGGAATAAGTGTAGCAGATGGAATTATAATTAAAATGGTCAATATACTGGGTGCTTATTACGTGCCAGGCACTCCTAAGAACTTCACCTAGATGATCTTATTTAATCCTCACTTCTACCCCGTAAGATGAGATCGGTGGTATTATCATTATTCCCGCTTTACATCTGCAAAAGCTAAGCCACAGAGGGTGTATCATTTGCTCAAGGTCCTTAGCTAGCAAGTAACAGAGCCAGGTAAGACTCAAATCCAGTTTCACCCACAGTTCACATGGGCTCATCCCCAAAAGAAGAGAGGGTTCACATCCTAAATGAGGGCTCTAAAGGAGAAGAGGTGTGGTGTTGTTTGGAGAATGTCTATGCGGGAAGGAGGTATGTATGGGAAAGACACAGTGCTAGAATCTGTGATTATCAAAACTATAAACATTTCTTAAGGACCTACTAAGTGCTGGACACAACCAGATTTAGAGAGTAGCTGTAGGAAACAAAGCTCTTATACAGAGATGAAAAAGGGCCAGACATGCTCCGTTTACCTTCCAAAACAAGACCACAAAACTCAAAATAAAATCTCTTCAATCCACCCTGAATACTCCAGAGTCTTAAATGACACTGTGTAACAAGAAAGCTAAGTTGACATAGGGAGGCCAGGAGAAGATGTGAAAAAAGCAGACTAATGCAGCAGAGAAGGGAGGGAAATAAATATATTGCCTTCCTCCTGGGGCAAAAGCATTTTAATTATCAACTGAGAGTCCAGCAGAGCCATAAAACTGGCCAGCTGTCCCATTCAATCAAGCCAAAGGCTGTAACAGACAGGACGAGGCTGCATTTTTCAGAGGACCAAGCACTTCGAGTTAAGGCTGAGTCCAGAGGGTTCAAGACGCACGGGCCGTTTCCACAAGAGGCTTTTGCACAGTTAGAAGGGGCTGGTGGGGCTCAATCCCTTTCAGGGGCTTCAGCAGAATTAAATCTGCCTGTTTCGGTGGGAATAGTAAAACTATGCCTGGCTGGCTTAGGAGAGGGCTACTCAGGGCTGCCTAAAATCCTCTTGCACCACTTTAAAAAGGGAAATTCAGCCATATCCTGTGTGCAACTAAAATAACAAGGAATGGAAAGAAGTTTCTCCTACTCCTTAGAAAGGAAAAAAAGCACAGTGCCATTTACTGAATGCAGTGCCTGTGTGATACTGACACATAATAGCTCATATCATCTTAAAACAGTACTGCTCATTTCTGTGTTGTTCATATTTTACGGATGAGATTTCCTGTGACTCCAAGAGGTTGGCCACGTGCCCAATGTCAAGTGCTCAAGAAGTAGCTTAAATCCAAGTCTATCTAACTCCCAAGGCGGTGTTTCTTCCATTAGACCACGGTGGTTCCCAAAACCAATCTTAAGGGGAAAATGTTTTCTTCTCAGATCAAAACCTTCAAGTTTCCTATAGAGAGCAAAAACTTTAGGGAAGTTAGGAGGGAAAGGGACATGCAACCCACAGCTTTTAATATGTCTAATGTATATGTCTCACTCTTACAGTATAGTGGATCACACAGGGGACATGTTCTTCCTGTTATTCTGCAGGTCAGTGGGGATATATGAGGCACACAATTAAAGTCGCCTAAGTGACCTTGAGCCCCACCTGGAAAAGCCCTATGTTGTTTCAAAAAAGTGAGCAGGAAGCAAGTGTAAATCAAAGCAGCAGCAAAGCTCCGAGACACCAGGATGCCCCTTGCTTAGCTCCAAGGACAGAGTAGCAGGCGACTAACTGTGTCCTGCTTCTAGGAGGAAGGCTGTCCTTGGATTATTGTGAATCTCCAGGATGGTTCATGTGACCAGAGCATCTTCTCTCAGCAAGGCCATCTGTCATGCCCTGAGCAGCAGTGGGGGAAGGGGACCACTTGTGGGCTCCTGTCAACTGTTTTCTCCACTAAACCACTCAGCAAAGATTCCCTTTCAGTAGATTCAGCCCAAGCCAGAACAAGCCCCGAAGTGGGGAACCTGAGCACATAGCAGCCTGACATGCACAGGCAGACAAACCGTGTAGTCACTAACATTCCCAAATACACAGACATTCATGCTTTAAGTCCTGGGCAGGACCTCAGAGACCACCTGTCCAAACCCCTCATTTTGCAGATGAAGAATCTGAGGTCCAGAGAGATCACAGACGTGCCCAAGGCCACCCGGCCAGTCAGTGTCAAGGACAGCCCTGGGGCCCACGTTCTTTCCACTGCACCAGAACACCTCTTACACAGATGCCCAATTTAAGTTATCTGTAATGATATTGATTCATAACCTTCTCTGAGTCTTACAATAATAAGAGCCCTGACCTTTTCCCTCCAAAATGAATGTATCCACATTTTGCATGGAACCATTTTGCGTGGTTCCCTGGCCCTATGTTAATCTTTACATTATAAGAGGAACAAAGTGTGGTTCTACAAGAGGCTGTCAGGGGTATTGAAGGGGACTCCACAGTAAAGACCTGGGCTCCCTGGACCTGGGATAGAAGCTACATTTTTCTCCTGACTCAACCAGACCACTGACATCACTGCTTTGTGTGCCATCCATAAGTGACCCTGAGCTACATCATCGAAACAAGGTGAAGAACCAGGTTAAGGAATGGAAATTTTTCCAAGAGATGAGGAGGAAAGGAGAAATAGGCAGGCTCTTCTCTCATCTCCTCAGAGATCCTGAAGGACAAATCTTGAACCTGAACAATGACGGTGCCACAGACCACCCGCAAACTGTGGTCAATACCTAGCTCTTACCAGGTTTGGTTGGGAGGGATGTGGGGAAGGGAAGATACAATAAAATGTATTACTTACTTTCAAGGCAATAGTGGCTCAAATCAGAGGAAACAGATCAAAGAGGAAGAGACTAAATACTCATCTGGAAATCAGACCCCACACGCCTTTCAAAGCCTTTCTTGCCCTGAACTCAACCCCTCACCAAGGCTGTTTTCTGCAACTAAAAGCTCATGGTCCAGAAACCCCAACCAAGGCCCTTCATACAGCACAAGCTTCTGCTCCAACTCCAGCACAGCATTATGAGAGCTTAAAAGTTGCCTGGTGTCCTGAGCTACTTGCTGCCCCACTGAGTAAGCTGCAGAGAACCTCCACGGTGATGAAATAGGAAGAAGAGGCAGGCAGAACTCTAGAGCAACCGCTGGGAAATGAAGGCACGTGGCCCACAAAGAGATCCATTCCCCTTACGAATCCTTCTCCACCAACCACAGGAAAGGATGGAGGCAAGAGAATCCAAGCACGCAATTTGCCTCCCAGGAGGCCACACTGTACGGGGCACTGGGCCTGCTGGCCTCACTGCCTGGAACCTCCTTGCCCCACCTTCCCTTTCCACTTTGTCTCCACTCTTGCCTCTCTCAGATCACGTCGGAAACAAAACTTCCTCAGAGAATTCTCCAGCACTCCTCTCGAGGCATGTCCCGTTATCAGCCATGCTCATGGTACTCACCACAGTCTTGACTTTACATTTTGTGCCACTTTATTTTGATCAAGGTCTTTCCCCCTGACCCCACAGGGAGCTCCTGGAGAGGAGGGCCTGTGTCTTTTTTGTTTCCTGCTGTATTCTTAACACCAGGACTTAGACTGGCCCATAAAAGAAAACCAACTTTGTGCAGGAGATGGCCACAAAGGCACAGGACAAAAGGGAAAGGCAAGGTTCCCAAACCACGTTCAAGAACTGAAAGATGCAACAGGACTTGCAAGTCAGATCTCCGGCCTCAATGGTTTCTTCTGCTGAGTCCTGTTCACCCGGCTGGTTATTTGCTTCATTTCAGCTTTATTCACTTACGTATTTATTTTGGCTTGCAGAACATATCTCTGTATTCATAGGAAACGCTACCCATCAACTGAACAGGATGCTCTGAGACACGCCAGGTGGCTGCTAGCTAACCTCTGGCATAGCCTCCTGCAACCAAAAGATAAATCCAATTCTCTGAGCGCTTGTACACTTTTGCCTGGGAAAATCCTCAAAACACATCCATCATCCTCCAACTCTCTGTTAAGAAGGAACATGTGGCAAAAACCACCAAAGGACCTGACTAAGGAAAAAAACAGGGAGTGAAATTCAGAAGTACCTGAGCCAGGTAATGCCAGAAGTATTTCATTTGGAGAGGCCTCCATGAAGCATACAAAAAGTCATTTACTTACCTCTCAAAAAGGACCAAGACTTGGGTTTTCCAGATGATACTTCACTGCCTTCCAGGTCCACTCTGGGAATGTTTTCCTGCCTATTTCATTCTCTTGTAGGAAAAAACTGCTTTTACAGCTACTCCTCATCCTTTTTCGAGGCAAGTCTAATGCCACATCATCCCTGACCAGGGTGCCTGAGCCTTAGCTGCTTCCTCCATCAGGCAGAATGGGCTCTACCATGCGTGCAGGACGACACTAGAGACTGGGATCCAGTGGGTCCCAGGGTGCCACAGGTCTGGCAGCCAGCAAACTCACCAGCCATGAGAAATCCCACACAGGAAAACCAGTCAGGAGCTTTGGCTAGTGTGTGGTCCAGGTATACTCCAGGGCTTAGAATGTTAGAGCCTGCTGAGCTGAGGCCAATGGGAAGACAAAATCTCTATCATCCTCACACTGGTGAAAGCATGTCTTCAGCTTCCTGACCTTGTGAACTCCAAGAGAAGGTTGGAGACGAGGACAAGGTGCAAGTGAACAGAATTTGGAGAGGGAGATGCTACATGGACCTCCAGTTCCAACAGGAGCAGCCAATCCAACAATTCAACAAAACTGGAACAGGCACCATGAGGAGCGTGACAGGCAGTCCCCAAGTTGGGAACAAAGGGAGTACTGAGGTTGGACAGAACAGACTGGGAGTAGACCCGACAGCACCGGGCAGTGGTCGGCTCCAGCAGCTCCTAGCAGCCGGCAACTGGCTACAGTGGAGACGTGGGCCAGTGAGTTAGCCAGGGCTGGTGATCAGGAAAAGTGTGAAGAGGGGAGGAGGCAGAGGCGTTTGGGATTAATAACGAATGTACTGTCACAACACCACACTCCAGCATCCAAAACAGGTGGTTGGGCTCAGACAATTAAGATGGATCAAGGGCCAGGGGACTCTAACGAGGATGAAAAGCAAATTCCATATGGCCGGGCCTGGTGGCTCACGCCTGTAATTCCAACAGTTTGGGAGACCAAAGCAGGTGGATTGCTTGAGCCCAGGAGTTCAAGACCAGCCTGGGCAACACGGCGAGACCCTGTCTCTACTAAATAAAAAATAAAATAAATAAATAAATAAATAATTCCACACAAGTGAGGTCTGAATGACACCCATGGGTAAGAGAAAGGGAACATTTACATTTTGGGATCACGTAAGTAAACCAGTTCACATGATATTTCATTCATTCATTCATTCATTCATTCATTCCTTTTATCTATACATTTATTGAGGACCCTACTATGCACCTGGAACTATGCTGGGAGCTAAAGACACAAAACCTATTTGGAGATGTAAGGGATGCTCCTGAAATCATAGCCAAAAAAAGAGGCCAGGTTGTGTAACTTGGCAGGTTGGCTTACAGGCCAGCACGGTGTTTTGTTTCGTTATGGCCTATGAATGCCTACCAGTGCTTTAAACTGACTCACCCTGGCTGGATGGCAGTTGAACTTGCAGCCATTAGACCAGGGGTTCTAGTCTCTTGTCACTCCAATATTCTTCTACGAACTACCAGGTAGTACACATTCATCAAATGATGACTTAGCACTGACTACAGCAAGGATATGTGATGGGCTACCAGAAGCAGCCAGGTTTGAACTGAGCACAGAAAACTGCGGAAGGGTTGGACAGGCAGAGAGATGAGGCGAGGGCACCCCTGCCAGCAAGGAGGAAAGGGGAGACCAGCTTGGCTAAAGAAGAAAGTGCCTCTAGAAGAAGAGAAGGCAGCAAAGATCTCATGATCATTTAAGCTGACATCTGAAAAGAGGAAGACAGGTGTGCCTAGCCCCAAACCAAATACAGTTCACCACTCACCTCTGCTCTTTCAGCTATAAAGTTAAGAATGAGTTGGTTGAAACCCAAAGAAGGTACAGGCAGGGGATAAATCAAACATTAATGCAAAGTGGATGCTGTGGCCTTGTGAGCAGAACGACGTTATTCCCAATTATATGAAACTAAAGCACTAGGCCACACAGAACAACAATGAAATACCCCAGCTGTCCAACAGGAGTGTGCAGGCAAGAGTGTAGTGATTAGGGCCACAAGCTGACAACACACTGACAGAGGGAGGAGAAACACATGCTACAAGCAATATTTTTGTTAGGCTATTATCTAGGGGTAAAAATAAACATGCAAAAATGCACAGAAAAACTGGAAAAACACACAGTGTTTTTACCCCTGTTTTTCCGTTTTCTTTTTCTTTTCTTTTTTCTTTTTTTTTTCCAAGATGTTGTCTCACTCTGTCACCCAGGCTGGAGTGCAGTGATGCGATCTCGGCTCACTGCAACTTCTGTCTCCTGGGTTCAAACAATTCTCCTGCTTCAGCCTCCCAAGTAGCTTGAACTACAGGCACGTACCACCATGCCCGGCTAGCTTTTTGTATTTTTAGTAGAGACGGGGTTTCACTGTGTTAGCCAGGATGGTCTCGATCTCCTGACCTCGTGATCCACCTGTCTCGGCCTCCCAATGTGCTAGGATTACAAGAATGAGCCACCGTGACCAGCCTCTTTTTCTTTTCCTTTTTTTTTTTTTTTTTTTTTGAGATAGAGACTCACTCTGTTGCCCGGGCTGGAGTGCAGTGGCTCAATCTTGGCTCACCACAACCTCCGCCTCCCGGGTTCAAGTGATTCTCTTGCCTCAGCTTCCTGAGTAGCTGGGACTACAGGCGCATGCCACCACGTTCGGCTATTTTTTTTGTTTGTTCTTAGTAGAGATGGGGTTTCACTATGATGGCCAGGCTGGTCTCGAACTCCTGACCTCGTGATCTGCCCACCTCAGCCTCCCAAAGTGCTGGGATTACAGGCGTGAGCCACCATGCCCAGCCTCTCTTTTTCTTTTATTTATTTATTTTTTTTGAGATAGAGTCTCACTCTGTCGCCCAGGATGGAGTGCAATGTTACAATCACTGCTCACTGCAGCCTCAACTTTCCAGGCTCAAGCGATCCTCCCACCTCAGCCTCCCAAGTAGTTGGGTCCACAGGCATGCACCACCACACCCAGCTAGATTTTATTGTATTTTTTGCAGAGATGGGATTTTGTTGTGTTGCCTAGGCTGGTCTCAAACTCCTAGGCTCAAGAGATCCGCCCACCTCAGCCTCCCAAAGTGCTGGGATTACAGGCTTAAGCCACTGTGCCCAGCCCTTTTCTGCATTTTCTAAGAGAAGGAAAGAGTTATTTAATATGAATATAAAAGTAATGAGAATACCTTCACTTTCAATGTTTTTACTTTCCAAAGCTTTTTCATATTACTTGAATATTGATATCTTTACTTATTTAACTTTTTTCATTCTTTTTTCTTTTTTTTTTTAACAGAGTCTGTCTCTGTCACCCAGGCTGGAGTGCAGTGGCACAATCTTAGCTCACCGCAATCTCTGCCTCCCGGGTTCAAATGATTCTGCCTCAGCCTCCCGAGTAGCTGGGATTACAGGCGCCCACCACCACCCCAGGCTAATTTTTGTATTTTAGTAGAGATGGGGTTTCACCATGTTGGCCAGACTGGTCTTGAACTCCCGACCTCGGGTGATCCTCCTCCCTCAGCCTCCCAAAGTGCTGGGATTACAGGCGTGAGCCACCACACCTGGCCACTTATATAACTTTTAATGGCCACTATTAAACTGCTCTTCTGCCCAATGCCGTTACACCAAGCCACCTACTATACAAAATCCTGAAGTCATCTACCTGCCCCCAAAAGGACAACCTTTCCATTTAAGACCATCTTTCAACAACGTGTTTGCTAACTATCATGTAACTGGTTTTCCCCAATTTGATGGAGAAGAGACACATAAATCCATTTTTATAGCCAGAGGCTTTTTACAAGTAGTTTTAGGGCGTGATGCTTAAGTTAATGATGTGATGTGGTAAAGTAGTATAAACCAGTAGTTAAGCCAGGGGTCTGAGCCACACGTCCCAGGGCCTGGCTAAACTTGTTTGGCTGTATGATGCTAGACATCTGAGGTAACAGTTCATACCGATGCATGTCCTGCATTAAGATTCCATGGTAAGACTGCTAGCTGCCAATTCCTTAGCGGCAATGCCCTTCCTTGATAACAGATCCTGATTCTCAGCTGGGTTCAATGACACCCAGCATAAAAGCCTCCATCTCCCTGTCTCCTCTCCAGCGAGTGATGGCCAGGCGACCACACTCTGTCCAATTAACACAAGCACATACGCCATGCTGGACTTCCGGGAGATTAATGGGAGCCAACTCAGCCACATGGGGCACCTTTTCTGTGCTTCTGCTTCCCCTCATCCTTCAGGCCTGTGACTTGGACCTCATAACTGGCAGTCCAGCAGCCATCTGGACCACAGGGTGACAATGAGGATGGAAGCCAAGTACTGGGATGAGGGAGTGAAAAATAGGAGCCTGGGTCCCAGATGACAATATGGAGCTGCCCTAAAATCCTCCGGGCTTCTTTTCAAAGACAAGTCAGTGTAGACCTTGTTTAGCCGCTGTTATTTGGTTTGGCTTTTCGGGCTACGTACGGTCAATCTAAACTCAATGCAGATTCTGTATCAACATAGGATACTATATGCCATACGCGTTTCACTGCCAGTAAACTGCAAATGACTTTTTAAAGTAGATGACCAAGATAATAAAACATTTTAATAAGACACTTTTTACTGAACCTTTCTAACAGCTAGGGGTTTATCATCAACTGCTTTCTCTTTCCCACAAAGACAGCTCCTGTGTATACATACTCTTTTCTCGAATGGTCAAAGTCAACTAACACATATAATTCCTAGTATTCTGCCCTCACATGACAATGACCAAAATCCAATTCTCTGGAACCCTTAACAAAGCAAGGAAAACAAACCAGTGTTCCCAAGTCTATAAAATACAAAGAAGTTATGGCTCCCAAGCTGGAGGCAATGGGCAAAGAAGTGGCATAACACTTCTAAGATAATTTTAAGCCTGGGCCACAAAGCAAGACTCCCATCTCTATTAAAATAATAATAATAATAATAATAAAATTTTTTAAAAAAAGGCTTGGTGCACTGGCTCACGCCTGTAGTCCCAGAACTTTGAGAGACTGAGGCAGGTGGATCACCTGAGGTCAGGAGTTCGAGACCAGGCTGGCCAACATGGCGAAACCCCACCTCTACTAAAAATACAAAAATTAGCCAGGTGTGGTGGCAGTCTCCTGTAATCCCAGCTACTCAGGAGGCCGAGGCAGGAGAATTACTTGAACCTGGGAGGCGGCGGTTGCAAAGATCACACCACTGCACTCCAGCCCGGGTGACAAAGTGAGACCCTGTCTCTAAAAAAAATAAATAAATAAAATACAATCATTTTCAAGTCATGTACACATTGCAATGGAGTAAGAATGGTGGTATCATCGAGGCTCATATTAGACGTATACAATCCTTGGCAAACATCCACCCACAGACAAACGTCAAAGTGCTACCCCACCACACATGTAAGATTTACAACTAGCATCAACATCAGCGCCAACCATGCAGTCCAATGGACCATAAACATTACTGGGCAGCAACTGTATTGAGAATGTCCTTTAAAATACTGCCGAATGTTTAAGTATTATACAACTTCTGCAATCCTGATGGCTCCCCTTGGCAATCCTAAAACCCACATAAGGAAAAAGAAAGGACCAGAGTTTTGTCTCCTGAATAACAGAATGACACTCAGGTCTCTTGCCCTCTCCTACAAACAGCAGAACCTTAACAGGGTAACTTTTCCTGCATAAGAGCCTCCACTCCTAAATACAAATCTCATAAGAGGTAAAAACGTGTATGAAGAGCTTAAAATTATACTCAAATTCAAAACTTCATCAAGTAAACTATTAACTTTTACAACTTTGTTATCCTAGCCCAACTTTCTAAATGGGTTCAATTATGTAACTTTACAGTACTTTGCCTACTTCTCTCAACATGATAAAAATATTAGAAAAAGTAAAATAAAGAAAATTCAGCTTCTCCATCACATTTTCCAGCAATATAAGCAATCTCTAGGTAGAAATTACTTTGAAAAGAGGTCACCAAAAGTTTTTTTTTTTTTTTTTTTTTTTTTGAGACGGAGTCTCGCTCTGTCGCCCAGGCTGGAGTGCAGTGGCGGGATCTCGGCTCACTGCAAGCTCCGCCTCCCGGGTTCACGCCATTCTCCTGCCTCAGCCTCCCAAGTAGCTGGGACTACAGGCACCCGCCACTACGCCCGGCTAATTTTTTGTATTTTTAGTAGAGACGGGGTTTCACCGTTTTAGCCGGGATGGTCTCGATCTCCTGACCTCGTGATCCGCCCGCCTCGGCCTCCCAAAGTGCTGGGATTACAGGCGTGAGCCACCGCGCCCGGCCCAAAAGTTTTAATTTATTTAAAGAATAGAATTTGAGTGGGGGTGGGGCGGGGATGAAAATCATCATGATAAAGAGACAGGAAAATGGCAAAGGGAAAAAGAGAAACCAGATTTTTTACGTAACTTAAATACTTCACATGCATCATATCTAAAATACATATCTAATGTTCCATACCCTTACAAGAAGGAGTTTTTCTATTATTAAGGGGGAAAAGAACACAGGTAGAAAAGATAAATGTATATTTGTATATGCATAAACCAGATACGCTTTAAAAATGTCGGGAAGGATATGCCAAATGTAATAGTTGTTCTCTCTAAAGGGAAACATTATAGGTTAACTTCCTCTTCTTTTTAGCTGCACTTTCTAATTTTCTACAATAGACACTTACTACTTACATAATTTTTTTTAAGAGATGGGGTCTCGCTATGTTGCCCAGGCTGGTCTCAAACTCCTGGGCTCAAGCAATCCTCTTCGCCCTCAAGCCTCAGCTTCCCCAAAGTGCTGGGATTACAGACATGAGCCACTGCACCCCACCACTACTTACATAATTTTAAAATGTAGTTTTTTTGTTTGTTTTTTTGAGATGGAGTCTCGCTCTGTCACCCAGGCTGGAGTGCAGAGGCACAATCTCGGCTCACTGCAAGCTCCACCTCCCGGGTTCACACCATTCTCCTGCCTCAGCCTCCCGAGTAGCTGGGACTACAGGCTCCCGCCACCATGTCCGGCTAATTTTTTGTATTTTTAGTGGAGACGGGGTTTCACCGTGTTAGCCAGGATGGTCTCGATCTCCTGACCTCATGATCTGCCCGCCTTGGCCTCCCAAAGTGCTGGGATTACAGGCGTGAGCCACCGCGCCTGGCCTTAAAATGTAGTTTTTAAAGTAAACAGATTCACCATAGTATCAACAGAAAAATAAACCACATCTGGAACAGCCTGGAGCAAAACAAAGTCTGAAGGATTTCCAGGCTCAAAGCTGAAGGATGCAAAGAGAGTGAAGTCCCTGGGGGCCCATGCTTCCCCCACCCAAAGTCCTTCAACTCAAATGCCCTCCTCTCTGGGACAGGATGCTCCAAGTGATTTTAAGTACATACCATTATGCAATTGTGTCCTCTTTACCACCCAGTTTAGGCAAGAGAGAGCACAAACTACCACAGAAAAGAAGCGTATTCCTAGCCCTGCTGAGTCAGCCAACGTGAAGGACTGGAGCTTCTACCAACTCACCATTTAATATTTAACACTTGCTTTAAATCCAGTTTATGGATTCTGGATATTTAATAAAGAGTTACTTCTCAGTTCCCTGCTATTAAACACTAGGTAATTATGGCATTTAATTAATACCACCCTTGGGCTACCAGGAGGTTGGTGATATTACCAGGAAGTCATGCTCTCCAAATGGACATCACCACCTGAATCAGCTCACAGTTTAAAGAATAGCATTCTCTTCTTACAGTCCCTTCTGTGATGGGTATCTCAAGTTGAGGTGTTTAGGTAAACATTCAAACAGATAATAAAGGCTTGCTCTACCTCTTGTTCCACAAAGAGGAAAATCCCTTTTGTGATAATATTCACACTTCCCACAAGTTTTGTGCACAGCATATCAGAATTACACATTCTGATATGTGGAAAAATAGTAGGGAAGGCCACTCTAGACTGCTAAAAAAAAAAGCTCAAAATTATCCCAAACTCCTCAGGCGCCTCTTTCCTCTCTTCCTAAACCAATCTTTCTTGGCACTCATCTCACCTCCTACATCTCCATTCAAGGATGGAATGTGTTTAAGCAAGGAGTTTCACTGCCCTCTAAGGTTCCATTAGAAGTCCACTCCTACTGACGTCGTGGGATACAACTGCAACTGCTCTGAGCCCCTCCAGCCCCATCTCTTCATACTCACTGTTGCTGGACTTAAGGTCGCGGTGGATGATGGGAACAATTGCCTCATCATGTAAGTAGTTCATCCCTCTGGCAATCTGCACAGCCCAATTCACCAGGATGTCTGGGGGAATCCTTTTCCCAGATAACACTCTATTCAAAGGTCCTCCACGAGCAAACTCCATGACCAAGCAGAGGTTGGGCTCCTTCAGACATACCCCTCTTAGGGCAATGATGTTGGGGTGCTTCAGCATGGCGAAGAGCTTGGCCTCTTGGCGAACATTCTCTATGGTCTGGCTGATGTCCTCATCAGGGTCGTGGCGAGCTGCTTTCACAGCAACCTCATCCCCTATCCAGAAAGCACGATAGACCTTCCCAAAGCCCCCGATGCCAATAATCTCTTCCAAGGTGAGCTCCGCAAAATCAATTTCTAACACTGAGAAAGGGAAGAAAAAAAGAAGCAAGTCAAAAACATCTTGAAAACATCGTATTTAACCTTTCATTTACCTGAGTGGGTAAACACGGCAAGTTGTCTGTTTACTGGGCCTTTCTGTCTCCCCATTATAAAGCAAATTCCATAAGGGCAGGAACTGCAATCAACTTATTTTCCTTTGCATTTTCCTTAGTGACAGTCACCACATGGTAGGCATTCTATAAACATTCATGAAAAAAAATCCCACCTGGAAAATCATGCAGAATCCTGTACCAAAACCAACTATTGTCACTAAAGGGAATATGGGAGAGGTCCTTTTTTTTCTTTTCTTTCTTCCTTTAAAATACATTTAAATATAGAGATGGGGTTTTGCCATGTTGCCCAGGCTGGTCTTGAATGCCTGAGCTCAAGCAATCCTCCAGCCTCGGCCTCCCAAAGTGCTGGGATTACAGGCATGAGCCACTGCACCTGGCCGAGATCCTTTCTTTGAGACTTACTCAGCTTTACTGTGTACTCAGTGGTGAGAAGCACCCAACTCAGTGCCAAGGCAGACACCCAACAACCAAACCATAGGATGAGAAGAGCTTCTGCAGAAGTATGATTAGAGGCTTAGGAAAATCACTAGCTCCCACAGCAGCACAGAGCACTAAGGGGGTGAGTGGGGAAAGGATTCTCAGGGAAGGCAACATTTGAAATTGGCCCTAAAGAGTGAGTGGGAGAGATCTCAGGCGATGAAGGAAATCAGGGCAGGGAAGGACAATCAGGCAGACGGAAGGACAGGAGCCAAGAACATGGAGTACGAAGTATACGGTATATTAGGACCTCCAGGGAGTCTGCTGTGGCCAGGTCATGTGCATCAGGATTGGAGACGAGGCTCAAAGCCTTGTTGAGGGTAACCAGGCCAGGAAATGTCTTTAAAGCCATTCTGAGGGGCTTGAACATCACATTGTAAACAAGAGGAGTCATGTATCTTTCAGAAAAGGAATGTTGTTAGACCTGTAATTTAGAAAGGAAATCAACTCTGGCAGCCACTGGAAACTAACCTGGAGGACACAGACCCAACAGCAAAAGGACCCCCTAAGGAGGCCTTGCAGCTCAGAGGTCTGAACCTCAGCAGCAGTGAATATAGGGAGTACGCAGTCAATTTGGGAGACTTTCAGAACTTGGTTCTACCTGGACCTGGAGACTGAAACATGGGAAAGGAGCCTCATAAGAGATATCTTACTCCAGCAGTCATCTGTGCCTCAGTTCAAGCCCTGATGATCCCAGTATCCCACCCAGTATCCCAACCAATCATTCTCCTTCCCAAATCCAGAATTTGAACCTAAGGTACTTGATTATATATTTTGTTGTGTGTGGAAAGGCTTTCATGGGTAGATAATAATAGCTGCCAGTGATTATAAAGCGAGCTACATGTGGTGCTAAGTGCTATATGAGCAAAGTGTGTTTTGTTTCTTGCATGAAACCCTGTTCTCTATCTTCTTTTTTCTTTTGTCTTTACCTGGCTGATTCATACTCATACCTCAGGTCTTAAATATCAGTTTCATAGTGGAACTTCTCCATCACCAAGACCAAATGAGGTCAGGCCCCTATCAAACACTTCCATGGCAGTTTCCATTCCACAAGAGGCATCAAGATTATAATTACTTAATTACTTGTTCAATGCCTATTGTCCAGGCCAGATTATGAGACCCACAAGGGCAGAGATTCTGTCTGCCCTATTCACCACTGCACTTGCCATGCCAAACATTTTGTAGGTAACCAAGAGATCCTTGAAATAAAATGGAAAAAAAATCTACTTGATATGGTTTGGATATTTGAACCCTCTGATTTTCATGTTGAAATGTAAGCCCCAGTGCTGGCGGTGGGGCCTGGTGGGAGGTGTTTGGGTCATGAGGGCCGATCCCCCATGAATGGCTTGGCACCCTCCTCACAGTAATGAGTGAGTTCTTGCTCGAATTCACACAAGATCTGGTTGTTTAAAAGAGTGTGACACCTATCTGGTTTTTCTCTCTTGCTCCTGGCTCCCACCACGTGACATGCCTGCTCCCACTTCACCTTCCGCCATGAATAAAAGCTCCCTGAGGCCTCACCAGAGCCAAGCAGATGCTGGTGCCATGCTTCCCGTACAGGCTGCAGAACCGTGAGCCAGTTAAACTTTTTTTCTTTATAAATTACCCAGCCTCAGGTATTCCTTCATAGCAATGCAGGAATGGACTAACACACTATCTCAGGAGGAAATAAACCAAATTCAGATCTTAAAAAAAAAAAAAAAAAAAAAAAAACTGAACTGGAACTAGACCTTCTGAAACAAATACAGAAAATAATCACACTTCACTGAAAAAAAAAAAACTAAGAAAACAAAGATACATTTCTGAACTTTTGGCAAGACCAAAAGAGGAACTGCCACTGCTGACTATTCCCTTCCTTACTCAGCCAGCCCTGTAACGCCTCCGTTCTCCACTCAGATGCTGGTGGTGCTAAAAAATCTGTTCTTGCTTAATTATAGCACCTCTATCCCATCTGAGGTTAGCCCATCTGTATTTTGTAATGCAACTGGCAGTCTGCACAAAGGAAACTCTTAGGTGGATGTTAGTGGATAGTCTTTAGATATACAAAAAGTATAGCCCATCCTGACCTCAAAATTCCAACTGTTTAAAGAGGTTATCACCTTATCCAGCAATCTTCCTGAAGAATGAATGTCATGGCAGAACATTGTAGACTAGCAATCGGCATCCATTCCATAATCCTTCTAGCACAAATTTCAGTACTACAGAGGCTAGGAAGCTAAAAACTACATTTCCCAGACTCCTTTACAGCTAAAGTTCTGAATGCAGATTAAATTCTGCCAATTAGATGCACAATATTTGAAAGGCAGAAGTGAGATGAAGACCATGTTCTTGCTGCAGGGATTTTTTGCATCAGCATGTTGGTGTCCAATCACTAAGTCTGTAGATGTGGAGAGGAATGTTTCATAGCCAAGTGGTTGCCTAATCTCTGGGCTGCAGACACAACAGGGTGTTTTTGAAGCCAACAGCTTCAATGGCAGCTCCTGATTCTGTATGTTCCCAATTAGAGAAGTAGCAGCTGACCTGGTGGGCCAGTTCTGCTATGTTCTGGGAGTTGTTCACATAGGTCCAGCTGAGAGCCTCTTCTCTCAGCCCTTCCAACAATTCTGCAAGCACAGAATTTCCTGTGCTAAATCTCTTTCTTGCTCAAAATAGCTTGAGAGTTTCTGAGCCCCAGAATGAATCCAGACTTATTACTAACTTGTGCCTGATGTCATCTATATGAATGAGAAAAATATGCCTATGTTATAAAGAAAGATTAGAAACTCTCTTGGAGAAATACATGTTAAGAGTCTTCCTGGTCATGGAGGGAGGAACATTCATGTTTTTCTAGCAGCTTTTACACATATGAAAAGATGTGTGATTACTTAACAAATTTGTATCTGTTTTCTTATTTCCTCAACTGAGTATCTGAATTCTCCTTAAGGGAATTTTAACTATTGTACTTTCTCTTGTACCCTCCCTTCTTTCCTCCAGTCTTAAGCATAGTTGTAAACACACAGTAGGTGTTAAATATTCATTTAAATGCAGGAGGGATTGAAAAAATAAATGCAGGGAGGTTTAAAAGACATGATTCAGTACTAGGGTGCTGAAAGGACAGCTCCTCTAAAAACCTCTGCAGGGAAGGGAAAGCAATAACCTCTCTTTGAGTAGAACATAAAAATCTCAGGTTCTTGCTATTTAGTTAAGCAAATATTATGACCTGACTCCAAGAAAAGTATAGAACACAACTTTCAAGCAGATAAAAGACAGAACCCAGAAAGAAGGGAGGGAGGAAGGACCTTCTTTTTCCTTCCCTGCTCAGTCCCTGTGGATAGGAACGAAGGAACTAGACCTTCAGCTGCAGCAGAGTATGTGGGGCTCTCCTTCCCTTCCCTGCTCCAGTCAAGACCTGGTTTTAAGTAAGAATCAGGTCAAGCTGCATTCAGCACATTTTTCAGTTTCTGTGGAAGGATATTTCCAGGAATATCAGGAATAAATCCTTAGTTCTTCCATTTTTAAAGTCAAGATGTTATTCCCTCTCAATCGTATGCTTGGAAACTGAATGTTTAGGCATATTTTGGTGGGTTTTGAGTAAGTGAATGTTATATACTTCACTCAAAAATCTTAGGTACATCTGAAAATATGTCCTTCTATTTCTAGTGGATGTAGATAATAAAAAACATAAACTAATAACCTTAATGTATGCCCTGTTTGAAAACTGAAACAACTCTCTTGTTAGAGAAACTTTCATATAATACCTAGGATTGCATCTCCCAAGATAATGAGTTTGGAACTGTACATTTTTCATCTTTCACTAAAATAAAGACGATGGATGAGCTCCTGGGTTATTTATACTTGTCATCCATAGACAGCTAAACTCTAACAAGTACCTACAATGGAGAGGATTAAAGCATTATATGAATGTAAAATGATTTATAATATCATTTTTATATGTTTTCTTTGTCATAATATTTAGTAATTTCCCCTTCTGTTTTGAATAAAGTTTGAGGCCAGATACAGTGGCTTATGCCTATAATCCCAACACTCTGGAAGGCTGAGGTGGGAGGAATGATTGAAGCCAAGAGTTTGAAACCAGCCTGGGCAACAAAGCAAGACCTCACCTCTGTTAAAAAAGTAAATAAAAATAATTGGCTGGGCATGGTGGCATGCGCCTCTGGTCCCAGCTTCTTTGGGAGGCTGGGGTGGGAGGATCTCTTGAGCCCAGGAGTTCAAGGTTGCAATGAGCTATGATTATGCCACTGCACTTCAGCCTGGGCGACAGAGTGAAAACCTGTCTCTAAAAATTAAAAAAACAAAAAAAGCTTTTAAATAAAGTTTGAAGCTAAATTTTCACTTTAAGAAGCAATAATATGAAACTAAAGCTGAACAGTATTGCTTGACTTAATGTCTTCTATTCATGGTCCAGAATGCAACGTCACAACACATGCTCAGAGGAGAAGTTCAAAAGGGTAACTCTGGCGATGAAGTGTCAGTGGCTCAATTTCATTCCAAGTCTTCGGAGACAAGGTTTGTCAATCGTCTTCACTTTCCGAGTGACACAAACTGATCTGGTAGAGCACATAGACTTCAATGACCGCCCATGTTCACCCTCTGATGAACCAAGGCACTGCACTGAAGTTTTATATTTACATACTTAATCTCCCTCATGTAACTTATAAGCAACTTCTGATCTTATCACTTCTTTATGTCCTGGTACTTAACACAGTGTACAGTATCTATCACTCACTAGGTACTCAATAATTAGTTTTTGACTGAAACTAAATTTTCTGAATTATCAAAAATTAATTCTAGTCAAGATCAGAACTCCTAGTGAGGCCAAATAAAAGAACGTGTCAGGTCTTTCAAATGCCATATTCTTCAAGTTAATTCTTTCCATTAGAACAAGTTACTTCCTACTTTCTCAACATCTGGGTTCCAGATTTAGGAATCCACTCTATCCAAGATAACTTGTATGACAATGAAGATAAGTCCTGGCCACCAAATGAAAAAGTAGCACGCTGTTGCCATGCCTAGCTCTGTGGACAGT
The DNA here is from genome assembly GCF_000001405.40 of Homo sapiens. Lineage (NCBI taxonomy): Eukaryota > Metazoa > Chordata > Mammalia > Primates > Hominidae > Homo > Homo sapiens. The sequence continues at coordinate 70,806,676 of NC_000014.9, forward strand.
TTTTCAGCCTAAGTCATACTGACTCTTGACTGCTCTAGCAGCCAGAGCACAAGATATTGAAGAAACCGAGTTCCTGATCACGAACCTCACCTAGCTCTTCTGCTTTGACATTAGCTGTCCCTGAAAACAAAATCACAAAACTTCACCCACAGAATCAAAATCTGACTTATGTTTAAAATGACACTGTTTTCTAACATGCCAGGCTATTCATATTTCTTCCAATATATGACCAAGTTCATTTTCAACACTTTCAAAACACTATGCCAGGATGCTTAGCCTTAAGGCTACCAAACTAGTCCCAAAAAGATGTAGTATCTGGAAACAATTTAAAGTAATTTGCTACCTCCAGGCATTTTAAAGATCAAAATGAAGAAAAATGAAGTTTTAAACTGAATGAGAGGGAGAGGGGGAACCTAAAGATTTGAACATCGATTTGATAGTCAAAACACCAACAGAAAAAGAAGAGCAGAAAAACAAGCGAAGAGGCTATGATTTTGATATTATGTGCTAGTTTTTAAAAAACATCTAAAGATAGGCCAGACACGGTGGCTCACGCCTGTAATCCAACACTTTGGAAGGCCGAGGCGTGCGGATCACTTGAGGTCAGGAGTTCGAGACCAGTTTGGCCAATATGGTGAACCTCATCTCTACTAAAAATGCAAAAATTAGCCAGGCATGGTGGCGGGCGCCTGTAATCCCAGCTACTCAGGAGGCTGAGGCAGGAGAATTGCTTGAACCCGGGAGGCAGAGGTTGCAGTGAGCTGAGATTGCACCACTGAACTCCAACCTGGGAGACAACGAGACTGTCTCAAAAAAACAAAAAAACTCAAGATTAAAGTAACACAATTGCTGGGGTAAAAAATAACTTACAGAGCCAAAAACGTAACTGTTACAAAGGAAATCTTAATATTTAAATATTTAAAGTTGGTCCTTGCTAATGACGTTTTAAAAAATCAACTAAGATGAAAGTATACAAAATAAGGAATAAACAGTAATTAATACATATTAACAATACCTTTTTAACAGATAAGAGATTATGGAAACTCTCAAATACAAAATAGTGTAAACTGCACTAAAGAGATATTTACATGTTTTTTTCTGAAATAAACTAGTATGATTAAGGGATTGTGATGGCAATTTAACTCCCTTGAAAAAAAAAGAAGATTTCATTATAGGGTATGAAATATGGGGCTCCTGGAAAATTGACGGAAACCAGGACACTGGGAGAAAGGCCCTGGGAGGGACCCCTGAGCATGGTCCCCCTGAGATTTGACCAGTTCCAAAGATAGGCAAGGATCTAGAATGAGAAGAAAGAAGAAAATGTATTTCCCAAACAGCCTCACTGTCAAAGGACTGGGATTCAGCCACTGTACCTTGCAATCCTGATCTCCCATGGGGGAACGACATACTTTTTCCTCTCTAATCATCACTTGTCTCACCCCCACTCTCAACACACACATCCCTCTTAGCACATTAATCAGTGAGACTCCTAAAGGTACAACTTCTGAGATATAAGAAATAGGATCCAAGAAATCAACCCGACATTTTACAGGCAACTGAGCCTTGAGTTCACACATGCTTCCGGGACTTGTGAGCCAGCTCAGCCCTGCGGAGACACCCCCATCTCTTTGAAAGCAAATGCCTTTAGGAGGCGGGGACAGGCGTTAGAAGAGGTGGTGGCAAGGTCCCTGATTTGGGGACTAAGGCTAGGACACTAACCACCATCTTGCCATAAACACTTCCAGATTGGGAATGGGGGGCGGCGGGGGGGTGGGTAAGAGAAGGGACTGGGAAACTGGCAAATTCTCAGACTGGGACTTCAGGATGTGGAAATCGGGAGCCACTGCTGAGGTGGCCAACTGAAGGTGAAGAAGCCCAAGCGTCTGAAGTGCGGGCAGGGCCTGAGGCGTCTCGAGCTTATCCAGCAAGCAAAGCCCGGGCAGCCTAAGCGCGCGCCACCCACACCCAGGTCAATCGTCCTCCCCACCCCCCGCCCTCATCCCAGCCCTCGCGCAGTGCTCCCCCCTTCCCCGACCGCCCCCCAGGCCTCCGTCATTCCCCCTCCCCGCCCGGCCCCGCCTTCGCCTTACACTGAATGGGCGGGTAGCAACTGGGGTCCTCGCCGCCGGGCTGGCAGCGGCTGGAGAAGGCGCTGCGCGGGGTCACGTAGTTGCTGGGGAAGATGCCCACCCGCTGGTTCAGCTGCCCGGTCCACCAGCCCTCGTCGCCGGACACCTGCGAGTCCTTGGACAGCACCTCCACCACGTCGCCCAGCCGCAGGGTCAGCTCGTCCTCGCCCGCCGCCTCGTACTCGAACACGGCCGTCCAGTAGGGCAGCGGCGCGTCGCAGCCCAGCTCCCCGGGGCCCACCGCCGCCGCCGCCTCCTCCTCCTCCTCCTCCTCCTCCTCGGCCCCGGCCCCTGCTCCATCCTCCCCCGGCGGGGCGGCAGCGGCGGCGCTCGCTAGGCAGCCGAGAAGCGCTCTGGAGGGCTCCATGGAGCGGCCGATCCATAGGGTGCGGGGCCGCCGCCGCCCGCAGGAGCCGCCGCCGCCTATTGTTCATGCGCCTCCGCAGAGCTGGGAGGACCCCCCCCCAACGACGGCGGCCGCAGGTAGGGCCCGGGCTGGCAGGGCTGGGAGAGCCGGCTCGCCGGCGCTGTTACCGCGGTACGAGAAGAGCGCCGAGCGCGAGCTCTTCGCGCAGCCTAGGGGCGCAGCGGGCCGAGTCCCCGCCTGCCCGCTCGCCCCCCCGGGGGCGGCCTCGTCACCTCTGCCGCCGGTACCTGCTCGCGCAGCCGGTGCCCGCCGCTGCCAGCCGGCCGCCGCTCTCCTCTCCGCGCCGTGCCGTGCCCCGCCCCCCGCACCGCCAGCTCGCCGGGACCACCTGACGCGGGCCTGGCTCCGCCCCAGCCCTGCGGACCCCAGGGGGCTCCGCCCCACGCCCGCCCCGCCCCGCGCCCGCTGCCTTCCCATTGGCTGCGGCCGCCCAGTCCCCGGTTCCTCCGCCGTGGTTGGGGCAGCCTAGCTGGCCGTCTCGCAGGTCCCTCTCACCCCCTGCGCCGCCGTCGCACCGTGCCCTCCCCCATTGCGGGCTCTGTCATTCTCAAACCCAGGTCGACCCACTCTTCCCGCCCACTGGCCCGCCGCAGCTCCCTCCATTGGCTCGCGGCACCTGTCCGTTTCCTGGGAGAGTTCAGCACCTCCCGGCAGGAAGAGGCTCCGGCCTCATTGGGTGCGTGAGAAGGGAAGGGTGGATCCTAAAAGGTAATACTGAGCCTTCATTCAAACTAAAAGGCTGGAAGGGAGGCAGCTGCCTTTGTTTGCCATGGATGGGTAGGGGCTGCACTGAGCAGCACCGGTGTTCTTCATCCGGCTGCACCCCCAACAGAGCTCTTTCTTCCCCAGATCCCTTTTACAGTTGGATTCTCCCTCTTGGATCTGGCTCTGCCTTAGTCCGACCTAGAGGGATCAGCTTCGCCCACGCCCACTCTCACCCGGAACCTTTCATCTCTTATTGAAGCCTTTTAGGCCCATTGGGATGTTCATTAGAACTCTGAAAACTACAGTTCTCCCCTTTATGAGGACTGCACCACAGCTCGCCCTCTCCTGGGTTCCGGTAAGAAGAGATTCCAATACCACTCTTTTTTCAGAATTCAGAAAGGCAAGAGACCACCTTACTGAGCTTCAAACTGGGGCTGGGAACGCTGCCATGAATTGGGCTTGGTCTGTCTGAAGGGAGCCACCTTTTCGACAATCCTTAGACTTCTTTTGCCTGTTGGAATTACACCTTGGATCGTGGCGAAGTCTATAGAGGTCAGATTAAGAAGAACCAAAGCAGAATAAACGTAGAACCCGATGCTGAGTTCACGAGTGAGGACGACCTCTTCCTATATGCTTTGCTATACCCTGCGTTTTGAACATTAAGGACGAGATAGGAGGCCCATAATGTTTCTTCTTGCTTTAATCCTGTCGTGGCAACGTTGACTTCCAGTAAGAAAGGTTCTCTGATCTTTTTTTCTCTTTTCTTTTCTTTTCTTTTCTTTTCCTTTCTTTTCTTTTCTTTTCTTCCAGGGTCTCAGTTTGTTGTCCAGGCCAGAGTGCAGTGGCGCAATCTCGGCTCACTGCAGCCTCAACATCCTAGGCTCAAGCCATCCTCCCACCTCACCCTCCCGAGTAGCTGGAAGTACAGGCTCGTCTTGAACTCTGGGCTGAAGTCATCCACCTGCCTCGGCCTCCCAAAGTGCTAGGATTACAGGCCTTAGCCACCTCACCTAGTCCTCTGAAATTTCTAAATAAGCCAGTGCTGAAGGATCTAGCCCAACTTCTACCAAACTTTGTTACCTTTTCCCCTTCAGTGGTAGGAATAGACATGATTTATTTAGCAAGGGTGAGTGCTTTTGTTGAATTTTAGTTTGGGGTTTATTATTACACAAACTAAAGACAGCGGGGCAATTTGGAAAGATAACTAGGCAGCTGCATGACTTCAGGCAGGTGTCCTAACACTGTACTCTTAAAGTGAGGGGAGTGAACTGGAAGATATCCTGTGTCCTCATAGTTTGAACATTCTGTGGTTCGCTCATCAATATGACTACACTGTATAGTCATAGCACACATTTGAGGTCTTGAAGAAGAGAGATGAGGCTTGTTCTAAAAAGCATCCAGAGTAGGTCTTGAAAAAGGATTTCTGTTTAAGTAAAGACCTAAAACAATGCTCAGATTCCTATTATACATAGGATCCATGAACTGGAAAAGATATGGATGAGTCTGAGTAAATTATCTAGGTTTTGTTTTAGACAAAACCATTCCACTGTCAAGCAGCAGAGAGCAAGGGAGTGGGGATGGAGGTATATTGTGTTTTTTTAAAGGCCATAAGAAAATAATTGTCTTGATAAAATTTTAACTTAGGACTGGGTATGGTGGCTCGTGCCTGAAATCTCAGCAGTTTGGGAGGCTGAGGCAGGAGGATCACTTGAGCCCAGGAAGGAGACCAGCCTGAGCAACATGGCGAGACCCCTATCTCTACAAAAAATGTTAAAATTTGCCAGGCATGGTGGTGCAAGCCTGTAGTCCCAGCTGTTTGAGAGGCTGAGGCAGGAAGATTGCTTGAACCTAGGAGGTCAAGGCTGTAGTGAACAGTGTTTGCTATACCACATTCCAATCTGGTGACAAAGCAAGACCCTGTCTCAAAAAAAAGAATTTTTTTTAACTTGAGGGAAAAAAAGTTTTACAAACTGTAGACACACAGCAAAACAGAAACAGGAAAAAAAGTACTAAAAAGAGAAAAATGTCAGTAGTGGGTCTCTAAGTAGTCGGATTATGAGTAATTGGGTAAGTTTATTGTCATTTTGCTTCTCCATAATTTCGTATGTTCTACTATTTAGTTTTGTGGATTCCTTCCCACTCCCTGGGAAGAGGGGAAGAGAGGAGAAAAATCATTGATTCTTCTCAATAGGAAAACTAATTCCCTGTGCAACTTAAACCTTTAATACCATAGCATGTGTTTAGAATCTCATAAAGAATCATTCATCAAACATTTCAACAAGTCATTCAGTTAATATTTGTTGAATGGGTAAGTGCTAGGAATTCAAATGAGGGTAGATCTTTCAGACTAAACTTGTCTGGCAGGGTTGCATGGAAGAAGCAGAACCAGAACTGGTCCTGGAGGGGAATGGGGTGGAGCAGGGAAGAGTGTGTTCAGGAAAGGAGGGTGGGAATAGGCACAGCCACAGACGTAGGAAAGCATGGAGAGGGGACCATTTGGATGGAATAGAAGGATGAGAAAGAACTGAAAAGATAGGTTGAGACCAGACTGTAGAGGGCCCTGTAATCACTTGATTCACACTAGTAATTATGTAATTGATTATTTGTAATTATTTAATGTCTGGTGCATCCACCATAAGGGTAGGAACCAGTCTGTCTGGTTCTCCACAGCTCTCCCAGCACCTAGAGAGTGCTTAGCACATAATTGACTCTCAGTACTTCTTTGCAACTGGATGGCTGACTTGAATCCCAGGCGAAGAAGCCTTGGTTTTGTTCAGCATGTAAAAGATTATCACTGAAAGGTTTTGAGTAGGGCTGTGGGGTGATCAAATACTGCCTTCCCTGAGGACTAGAATGGATGAGGAGATGCTTAAGTTGGGCATTGAAAGATATGTACAACCTGATTAATAGAGAATAAAAGATGTGGAAATAGAAATTAATGTAGTGGGTAGCAATAATAGAAATTTCATCCAGAGAAGAGGAGAGAATGCAAAAAGGGAGTGATGGGAAATAAAACTGATGAAATAAAAGAAGGGCAGATTGTAAAAGACTTTGAAAGTCAGGTGGAATTACCAAGATTTTACCACTATGAAGTTTTTGAGGAGGGGATTGGCAGATGTCACCCCAAAAAAGAAACATTTTCTCTACCACGCTGAAAAGCATAGCATAAGGGAGAAAATAGCAATCAAGATGCAAGTTGGCATTAGACTTAAGTCAACAGATCATGGTTTATCCTGGCTTTGTCCTTTAAAAATGCTGTGACTTTGGGCAAGACACCAGTTTGAACCTCAGTTTCCTCAATTTTAAGTAGGTGTAATAATAATACCTGGTTTTAATGGATGTTTACAGGATTAAATGAGACAGGACATGCAGAAGCTCTTAGCTTGCTGCTCACACCCAGCAAATAGTCAACATATTTTTTTCCTTCTTTCACCTGCCCATTACCCCCAAGAAACACTCTTTAATTACACCTAGGCCTCTTGACTGAAAGTTGAACCCAGGGTTTTCCCTAAAGGAAAGAGAGAGAAGGAAGGAAGGAAAAAGGAACAGAGGCCTCTGGGAGGCCGAGATGGGTGGACCACTTGAGCTGAGGAGTTCAAGACCAGCCTGGGCAACATGGTGAAACCCCATCTCTACAAAATAGAAAAATTAGCCAGGCATGGTGGTGCCTGTGGTCCTAGCTTTTGGGAGGCTGAGATGGGAGGATCGCTTGAGCAGAGATGTTGAGGCTGTAGTGAGCTGAGATTGCTCCACTGCACTCTAGCCTGGGTAACAAAACGAGACCCTCTCTCTCAAAAAAAAAAAAAGGAACAGAAAGGAGAGGAGAGGAAGGGGTGAAGGAAGGAGGGAGGGCAGGAGGAGAGGGAAAGAAAGAAAGGACGAAAAAGAGAAAAACAGGAAGGAAGCAGGGAGGGGAGAAAAGGAAGGAAAGAAAGGAGGGAAGGGAAGAAAGAGGGCAGGCATCATAGACTATTGAAGAATTTGGGGTCTTGGCTTCTGACTGAGTTTGAATCTATGCTTACTGTGTGCCATTAGGCAAGTTAACCCTGCTGTGCCCCAGATCCCTCACCTGGAAATTAGGGATAATTGTACCTATCTTATATATGTTATGTGCTTAACACATAATCTAGCATGTAGTTACTGGTATTATTTGAGCCTAAACCGTGACTTAGTTAATGAATGTCACCCTTTCCTTGATTCTTTTGGGAAATATTTAAAATTAGTACTTTGATGTAAAAAAAAAAAATCCCTCAAGCAGACTTTTACCTTTTTTTTTTTTTTTTTTTAAAGAAACAAGGTCTCACTGTGTCACCCAGGCTGGAGAGCAGTGGCACGATCATAGCTCACTGATCACATGGCAGCCTCAAACTCCTGGACTCAGTGGGTCCTCCTGCCTCAGCATCCTGAGTAGCTGGGACTACAGGTGCGTGCCACCACACCTGGCAAATTTTGTTAATTTTTGGTAGAGATAAGGACTCACTGTGTTGCCCAGGCTGGCTTCAAACTCTTGGCCTCAAGTGATCCTCCTGCCTCCATCTCTTCAAATGCTGGGATTACAGGTTTGAGCCACCGTGCCTGGCCCCTTTGACCTTTTCTAAAAGAGCCAGCCCACCACTTTCACCTCTCATGTGTACCATTTCAGGAAAGAAGCCCTAGTTCCTGTTTCATAAACTCCATTTGCATTAAATATGATTTTAGGCAAATGGTTTGGGCAGATATGTGGCAGGGCTGATGGAACAGACCTGTGGAGTCAGACCCAGACAAGTCTTGATCAACTTGTCATGACTGTGGGAGGCCTTTCACCTCTCTGAGCCTCTGTTTCATTGTTGGTAACATGAGATTGTATAAAATGGGGTTGCTGTGAAGGTTAGATGAAGTAAGAGGTCCTCCTGGCAGTGCCTAATACATAATAATAAGTGCTTAATAAATTGTAAATGTTATTACAGTTGATAGTATTTAATTCCTCTATGAGGAATTATGAGTTAATGTAGCTTGAACCACCAAAAAGGTAAGAAATCTTTCCTCTTTTAGGAAAACCTCAGTTCAGAAAAGCAATAAACTATGGGGGGGGTGGCTGTTTAGAATGTTGCATCTCTGGAGAGCAAGTTGCATTTTAACAATGATCAGAGCCTTTAATTAAGGAGTGAAGGTCAAATCATTTCTGCTTCATCCAGCCTGGTTGCAGAGTGAGCCCATGGGACAGCCCTCTGAAATTATACTGCTTACAACCATGCTGAGTCTGCAAGGACTTCGTCCAAGCCTTTCCGTCCAGGACCTCAAACAGATCCAATCACAAGAAGAGAGATTTCAGGAAAGAGAAAATTATTCCTATCATCGGGGTTTTTGAAGAACATGAAATGACTGGGAAAATAATCATGTTAAGTGGAAAAAAAAAAGAAATCTATCTGTTGTAATTTTCAAATAATTTTTAAATAAATTTGAAAAATTAAGAGAACTATATATATAATACATTCCTAATCTTGTGAAAAATATATATGCATTAATATTATTGAAAGAAATATATCAAAAGGTGAACAGCAATTATCACCAATCTAGATTATGAGATTAGGAGTGATTTTTTTTCTTTGTCCTATACTATTTAATATTTTCTACCATTAAAATATTCTGATTTTCTAATTAGAATAGTACGTTAGACAAAGAAGGACAAATATCACATGAACTCTCACTCTCTTATGGAACAGATCTTGTGGAATCTAAAAAAGTTGAACTCATAGAAAAAGAGGAAAATGATGGTTACCAGTTAGAAAAAAGGAATAAGTTCAAGAGATCTATTGTACACCATGGTCAATATAGTTAACAATATATTTTATACTTTAAAATTGCTAAGGTAGTAGATTTTAAGTGTTCTCACCACACAAAAAAATAAGTATGTGAAAAGCATATGGTAATTAGCTTGATTTAACCACGCCACAGTGCATACATATGTCAAAACATCATGTTGTATACTATAAATATATACACTTTTTGTCAATTTTAAACAGGTTATAAAAAAACATGTTATTGTTGATAATTATGAAAAATTTTAATGATGTGGAAATGTGTACAGTATAATGATAAATGAAAGAGTAGTAAAAATCCTTATAAAATATAATTACAAATGTGTTGGGTGGATAATATAAAAATCTTAACAGCTATTTCTGAGCTAAGTGGTGGAGCATGGGTAATTTTTAGTGCCTTCTGTGTCAGGCTGTTCTTGCATTGCTATGAAGAAATACCTGGCCAGGCGCGGTGGCTCACGCCTATAATCCCGGCACTTTGGGAGGCCAAGGCGGGTGGATCACCTGAGGTCAGGAGTTCGAGACCAGCCTGGCCAACATGGTGAAACCCCGTCTCTACTAAAAATACAAAAATTAGCCAGGTAAGGTGGTGCGTGCCTGTAGTTCCAGCTGCTGGGGAGGCTGAGGCAGGAGAATCGTTTGAACCCAGGAGGCGGAGGTTGCAGTGAGCTGAGATAGCCTGGGTAACAGACCAAGACTCTGTCTCAAAAAAAATAAAAATAAAAATAAAAAAGAAATACCTGAGAAAAGGTAATTTATAAAGGAAAGAGGTTTAATTGGCTTGCGATTCTTCAAGTTTTACATGAAGCATGGCAGCATCTGATTTTAGGGAGGCCTCAGGAAGCTTCCAATCCTGGCATAAAGCAACGAGGAGCAGGTACGTCACATGGCGAAAGCAGTAACAAGAGAGAGAGTAACGGGGGAGGTGCCACACCCTTTTAAACAATCACATCTCATGAGAACTCACTATCCTGAAGACAGCACCAAGGGGATAGTGCTAAACCATGCATGAAAAATCCGCCCCCATGATCCAATCGCCTCCCACCAGGCCCCACCTCCCACATTGGGGATTACAATTCAACAAGAGATTGGGGCGGGGACAGACGGCCAAACTATGTCACCTTCATTTTACTTTTCTTTTTCCTACAGCAAAAATAACCATGTGATATTTGTGTAATTGTAATAAAGAACTACAAAATCACTTTTATCTTTTTAAATACAAAATTCAAACTAAAATCATTATTGTTAGTTGGAGAGATGGTGGAGGAAGGAAAACAGAAGCTGAGGATGACACTACTAATAAGTAACAATAATGACAATGACTCCTGTTACTTAACGGCTTGCTTAGGTTCACAGTCTTTTTTATTTGCTAGACGCTTTAACGGCTTCTTCCAAGCAAACAAAAGTCTTGGAATCCAAACAGTCCCTTTACTCCTCACCCCTCATACCTCATGGAGGGAAATTCTTGGTTATGTGCAGACACATATGTGGACTAAGTTAGCATGGCTGTGGCACCCCTTACCTGACACGGATTTAGACTTTAGCTTTTCAAACGTTTTGGTCTGTATTTATTTATTTATTGAGACGGAGGCTCACACTGTCACCCAGGCTGGAGTGCAGTGGCGCCATCTCCGCTCACTGCAACCTCCGCCTTCCCAGGTTCAAGCGATTGTCCTGCCTCAACCTCCCGAGTGGCTGGAATTACAGGCGCCCACCCACCACACCCAGCTAATTTTTCTATTTTTAGTAGAGACGGGGTTTCACCATGTGGTCTCGAACTCTTGACCTCAGCTGATCTGCCCGCCTCGGCCTCCCAAAGTGCTGGGATTACAGGCGTGAGCCACAGCGCCCGGCAAACCTTGGTCTTTAAATCACGTTGGCAAGACTGAACTCAAACGTAAGCTCTCTGTTTTGGTTTTGAGAGTTGTGCCTTCTTATCTAAAACAGTAACAATTTAAATATTTTTGTTATTTAAACAAACCAATAAGATCTGAGGAATGAGCAACCGTCACAGTTGTCTGAATAACACATTGCACGGTAGTGGTGGCTGTTTCATAACGGACTTGGCACAGCAGTGCCCTCTTAGAGACAAAGGTGGACCATTGCGCCGCCGTGTGGTATTGAGGGGTATGGCGCCTTCTTCCTTTTATAATTACGCTTTTTCTAGTTAAGAACTAGAATAACCTTCGCGGTCGCTGGGTGGAGCCCTTTCAATTTGTTGTGTGGGCTAACTAAGTGTGGAAACTAAGACTCAGGCAAGTGATGTTACTGGGGCTTGAACCCAAATCTTCACCCTTTGTGCTCCCAGCTTTTCAAGTTAACTCAGGGATGTCTGCACATAGCTGGAGGGAAACGGAGCTGTCTTATGCAAAACTCAATTTCACATTCAAAGAAACTGAAGTGTAGAGAGGATAAGTGACTTGCTAAAAGGTCTGCGCTAATTTGGGGTCCTTCGTTTTTTATTCTACTCATTCGTTTATTCACCAAATATTTATACACGTGTCTACTACATGTCAGGCACCATTCAAGGCACTAGAGATAAAATAGTGAACACAGCAAACAAAAATCCCTTCCTGCAAAAATCCCTTCATCTCTTCCCTTCATAAAGCTCATGTTCTAATGGGGGAAACAAAGTAAGCAACTAAAATATATAATACCAGATTAGAGAGGGGTAAATGCAAAGAAGAAATAAAAGGGAAGGGGGATACGAAATGTTAGGAGGGGCTACTTTTCTGAGTGGCCAGAGAAAACCTCCTTGATAAGGTGACTGGTGACTTTTTTTTTTTTTTTTTTGAGATAGAGTCTCACTCTGTGGCCCAGGCTGCAGTGCAATGTCATGATCTCAGCTCACTGCAACCTCTGCCTGCCAGTTCAAGTGATTTTCCTTCCTCAGCCACCACGTAGCTGAGACTACAGGCACATGCCACCATGCCCAGCTAATTTTTGTATTTTTAGTAGAGACAGGGTTTCACCTTGTTGGCCAGGCTGGTCCTGAACTCCTGACCTCAGGTGATCCACCTGCCTTGGTCTCCCAAAGTGCTGGGATTACAGGTGTGAGCCATGGCACCCGGCCAACAAGGTGACTTTTGAGTAAAAACACCTGAAAGAATTTAGGAAACCAGTCATACAGATACAGGGGAAGAGCATTCAGGCAAACTGCATGGTAGTGCAAAGGCCCTAAGACAGGAAAATGCCTGTGTATTCATGAAAAGATAGCAAACTCAAGGGTAGTAAGAGCTATAAGAGGTAGGGTGGCCTGTTCACATGGGGTCCTTCAGGTCAAAGGAGGACTTTGGTTTTACTTTAAATGAGACAGGCTATTGAAGAGGTTTGTTTTTGTTTTTGTTTTTGTTTTTTTCTGAGACAAGGTCTCACTCTGTTGCCCAGGCTGGAGTGCAATGGCGTGATCTCAGCCCATTACAGCCTCAACCTGCCGGGCTCAAGCGGTTCTCCCACCTTAGCCTCCTGAGTAGCTGGGACTACAGGCATGCGCCATCACACCCAGCTAATTTTTGTTGTTGTCGTTGTTTTGCTTTGTTTTGTTTTTTGTAGAGACAAGGTCCCACTATGTTGCCCAGACTGTCTCGAACCCCTGGGCTCAAGCAATTCTCCTGCTGTGGCCTCCCAAAGTACTGGGATTACAGACGTGAGCTACCATGCCCTGCCACACCGATGATTTCAATGAGCAGAGGAGTGGTGTGGTCTGCCTTTTCAACAAGATCACTCTGGCTACTGGGTTTGCAACAGGCTTCAGAAAGCAAGTGCGGGGACTGTGAGAGGAAGGGACTATTCAGTAAGCCTGTCAAGGGATAACAGCAAATTAGAAAAGGGAGGTGACAATGGGTATGGTCAAAAGTGGCCAGAATTTAGAAATACATTTTGAGGGTAGACCAACCAGGTTTGCTGATGAATCAGAAAGGGAATAAAAGAAAGAGAGGAGTCAAGGATGACATCAAGGTTTTTGGTTTGAGCAACTGGAAGGCTGGCGTTGCCATTAACGGAGAATGTGGGAAAAGCTGGTTTGGGGGCAAATCTCACCAGTTTAATGTTAGACATGATAAGTTTGAGATCACTGTTCTATACCCAAGTGGAGATGTCAAGTGGGCAGTTGATTACATCATCTGGAGTTCATTCAAGAACTGTTAAATGACAACAGTCTAGTCCCTGAGAACCTTAACTCTATAAAATGACTAAGGGCGCAATAATGATTAGAAAACATTCAGACTCAAATAATAAAATACTTTCTCCTTTAACGTGGTTTTCCAGATTTCTACTCAAGGAGACCTTTTAAGTGGCTATTCCTTTCCTAGTTGAAGGCTGTGAATCTTTTGCTCACAGACATGAGACATGAGTCTCCTGACACTGATGAGACCTTTAAGACAGTTGCCTGTTCTCTGGGTTACTGGATGGAGCCCTTTGTGAAGTCAGTGGGAGCCCCAGAGAGAAGCCTGCTTGGCCGGTGGAACATCAGGGAAACTCTCTTGTGCTTTGTGTTTTATGAAAAGTAGGGGAGATTCCAACCTGAAGCCTTCCCATCTTTGCTTCCTGGGGTTTTGTTGATACCCAGGTCAGGTGCAATTGCTTGCAGCTTCATGATGTCTCTTCGTTATCTTATAGTCTGCCCTCTTCCCCAGCTCTGTACATGATGGAATTGCCATTCTTTTGCATGGGTACACTCCTTCCTGGGATGTGGGCAAGGGATGGCAGAGTGACTGACAGCTTATTGAGTACTAGGCAGTAGGTTGGGCACTGATAGACATACCCTCCATTAGTATACGAAGACGAAGCCACCGACCTACCAACTGTACCACTCACTGTAATCACAGCCAACATTTATATACTATTTTAGAGTTCAGAAAACACTTTTACAGACAGGTGCCAGTATACTGACTAAGAGTACATACAGACTCTGAGGCCAGGCACAGTGACCCATGCCTATAATCCCAATGCTTTGGGAGGCAAAACCGGAGGATCACTTGAGGACAGAAGTTCAAGACCAACCTGGGCCACAAAGTGAGTCCCTCCCTGTCTCTACAAAAAATTAAAAACTTTGCCAGATATAGTGGTGCACACCTGTGGTCCCAGCTACCAGGAATTCAAGGTTACAGTGAGCTATGGCACCACTGCGCCACTGCACTTCAGCCTGGGAGAGGGAGTAAGACCTTGTCTATTAAAAAAAAAATACAGACTCTGGAACCAGGTTGCCTGAGTTGAATCTCAGTTCTGTCCAGTTCTGCCATGACTCACTGTGTGGTCTAGGACAATTTACTTAGCCTCTCTGTTAAGTCTTGGTTTCTTCAAGTGCAAAATGGAGATTTTAAATAATCCTAACTACCTCCTAAACTAGCTTAGAGATTAACTGAGATAATACGGAGGCAGCCCTAAGAGCAGTGCCTAGAACATAGTGAGCCCTCAATAAAGGCAGAAGGGATCGTACTACCTGGTTGGGACTTTTTAGCCAATTTTACTAATAAGGAAACGGAAGCCCAGGGAGTTTATTCAGTGTGGCTAAGTACTAAGGAACAGTACTAAGGAACAGAAGCCCAAGACCCAATCAGGGGTTCCTGCTTCTGACTCCAAAGCTTTTCCCACTCAGAATCCACTTCCTTAGGGAGTGTGGGTTTTATGTTAAAACAAGCCAAACTTTCGCACCGGCTCTTCTGGTGTCTCCTAGCTTTGCTTCTGAGAAAGGACAGCTGAGGTTGGAGGGAATAACAGCAAAAATAATTGACATTCTTGGGTCCATCGGTCGGTGTGCCGGGCCTGTGCCAAGGACTTCACCTGCCCTTCCCATTCAATATTCACCAAAAAACCTATGTGCTAGGTACTTTGAATAACCACTTTATATAAAAAGTGGGGTGCAGAGCCACTAAGCAAGCAGGGGTGGCGTGTGTCGGAGCCAGAATCCATTATCGGCTCTCTGATCAGTTTACCCCCAGGAGGACCTTTCCCCGACCCCCTACCCCGCCGGGAGCAGCCTATCTTCGTGCAAAATGCACCGAGCTACATACAGAGGCTGCCTTCCAGGACTCAGCGCGGAGGGTTAGGCTGCCTCGAACCCCATTCTGGTAACTCCATCCCAGCTGGGACGCCGGGCCCTCTCCGCCCCTTGCGGCCCACCCCTCCCCTTCTGCCCCCCAACACGGGGACCGGGCGGGCTCTCGGTCGGCGCCACCGCGCCCCCGCATCAGGATCCTCGGCGCTGACGTTCTCTCCCCAGGGGGAGGAGGGGCCCAGGAAGGGTTAGGTCCGCAGCCAGTGCGGAGAAAGGGCCCTGGGCTCGGCTCCCACGCTCGGGCAGGCCTCCCGCCGGGGGATCGGAGCTGCGGTCACTCGCGGCTTCGGGGCCGTGGCGTCCCGCGCACAGCTTCCGCGCCTCTGCAAGGCGGTGAGTCGTTTCTTCCCGGCACAGGAGGGACAGTTTCCCCACGTGGACGCGGGGCTGGCAGCGGGAGGGGCAATAGCGCTGGCGGAGCTTAGGGTTTCGCGGGAGCAACCAGCGCGCGCCTCTCTCTCTCCCCTCCCCTCGCTCGCGCTCGCTCTCCCCCGCCCTCTGTCTCTCCCCTCTCTCTCTCTCGCTTTCCCCCCACTCTCTTGCTTTCCCCCTTCTCTCTCTCTTCCCCTCTCCTCTCGCTCGCTCCTCGTCTCCCCTGGCTCTCTCGCTCTCCCCTCTCCCCGTCTCCCCACGCTCTGTCTCGCTCTCCCCCGTCTCTCTCCCTCCCCCTCTCCTCCCGCTCTCTCTCGCTCTCCTCTCTCTTCTCCCCGACCCCCTTGCGTTCTCTCTTTTTCTCTCTTCCCTCGCTCTCCCCTCCCCTGCCCCGTCCCTCTCCTCTCCCCTCTCCCCACATCTCTCTCGTTCGCCCCTCTCTCCCCTCTTCGCCCTCTCTCTCTCCTTCCTTCTTCCCACCCTCTCTTCCTCCGTCTCTCCCTCCCCGCCTCCTTTCCTCCTTCCCTTCACCCCCACTTTCCTTCTTCCCTCCTCCTCTCCTCCTCCCCTCCTCCCCTCCTTCCTTCCTCCCCTCCTCCCTTCCTCCGCCCCCTCCTCTTACAGGGAAGGATGCCCTCGGTTTCGCTGCGCTCTCCCAGGAGCGAACTCCCGCAGCCGCTCAGGCCAGCGCCAGAGACCTTGTCCCTACCAAGGCGGGCCGCGCCCCTTGGTGGGCTGGGCTCAGGGAGCGCGCTTTGCACGCTTCAGATGTCTTTGTGGGAAGCCTGGGAGTAGCTAGGTGTGAATGTGCTGCCCTTAATTTAAGCCACCAGTTGTAAATATGTGTTCTAGTGCATATTAATAACTCTCCCTCGACCCACTCGCCTCCTGCCACTCCAGTTGCTCCAACAGGGACCCCCTCTTCCCTTCCCTCGGGCCAGCAGCTCTTCCTGTACAGGAGAAGCGATCTGGGTAGCTCAGGAGCTGCCTGTAGGTCTGCGTATGGCCTGTTTCTCTTTCTTCCCCTCTGTCCCACACTCTCCGCTCACTCCTGTCTCCCTGCTGTCACTCTGCAGCTATGACACTAGATCACTAATAAGGGTAGGTGAGAAGGAAAGGGAAGAGGAAAAGAAAATAACAGCCATTTATTCTGATAAACCCTCAACATGTGACACCTGGGTTCCTTCCAGGCATTTGCTGTGAAAATAGGTGGTCCTGGTTCTCAGTAGTCCCAAAGCCTCTAGTCCGGATGGGGGTAGAATTGCCGCAGATGCGGAATCCACTAACAGTCGAGGAAGCTTATCTTCCTGGAAGCCTTCAGCCTCCCACTCCCACCTCTGCCCCATTCTGTTTGCTTCCTCCCTGTCTCAGCTTCTGCTTCTCTCCTTTTTATAACCTGCTGCTAAGAAAAGTCTGAAAACTTGAATTATAAATACATAATATATCAAGTATTGCCTGAAATAGAGATTTGAAACCTAAAAGGGAGGAAAGAAAAGAAGCATCTTGAATTCTAGGAGAAGCAGTCCTGGGTGCCGCGTCCCCAAGGACTGGCTGCAGCTTCTCTCGGCCGCGGTTGCCTCATTTATAACATGGGGATACCCATCCATACCAACCATGGTGCAGGGGATTGCACCAGATCATTCTCACATCTCTTCCAGCTCTGAAGAAATGGA